>NC_000016.10:63047348-63350378 GCF_000001405.40 Homo sapiens | reverse complement strand
TAACGAGAAGGATTTTCATCTCAGGCAACTGTAGCCCTGGTGTGTTCATTGTTACAGACACCAGATGCTCCCCCTTTACTTCTCATAGTCATTTCCCTTTTAAGATTGTCTATCCATCAATATCATCAGACTAAATCACCTTGGACCAGGCCCATCAAAGGCTCCTTTGGCAATGTCACTGGGACCATTTGCAACCTAATTAATCTATCTTTGTGGTGCCTCAAAACAGCACACACACTGCCTTAATTGCTACAACCTCACACCCATTGGGGACCACAAACAGAGAATAAGCAGACTCTGTTACACCCTGCAACTCCTGCATTAGCATCATTTACTGCAAGATTAATGAGAGAAGCTGAGAAAGCCAGAAGTGTGGAGCAAAGCCGTAGATTTAGGCTTTAGAAAACTTCCCATGCTACTTAAATAGAGCAACAACTTGACTATTAAAGTAAGAGTTAAAAAATTTACACACTTTAGACACATTACTTACTGTCAATGAACTTTACAAAGCTTTAAACTTGATATTATTATTATTCTAAAAACCTTCAAAATTAAAGCTCTTTTTCCTTAAATGTTTAAATTGTACTTTTATGTGAGCCAATCACATTTTATACATATATATTAATTTTGTTGAGGACATAATTTATTATGATTAATGTGTTGGATGTAGTGATTCTGAAAGGAAAACATGTTTAGACAGTAAACATTTCTAAAAATAACTATATTAAAAATGATATAGTGAACAACAAAATTTTTAACTACCCAGTACATTCAACCAAAAGCAAAAATAAATAAATATCAACAGCAACAAAAACACAACAGCAAAAATTCCTGAGTGCTTGATTTTGAATCGTGGTTCTTTGAATTTGAAGTCTTCTCATGTTAATATTTTAGACTTGTTATGTAAGCTGTATATATAAAATCTTGTATACCCCAAAAACAACATTAATATATGTTTTAATTTTTCTAATTATCAAAAAAGAAATATTTGTATTACTTAAAGTACCAACTCATTTCTTGAAATGAAAGAGTCCCTTATTGAAGCATGATTCAACTTTATGTGCCAAAATTTCATTGACTTGTTAAAAAATACATATGTTTAATAAAGTCAGATTCACATTTAGATTGTGGTTTCCTAATGGAGTGGAAAAAACAGAGGATGTGATGCTTGGAGTCATGGGCTTGAGCCTGTAAGTCATCTTCACTTATGATCACTTCCCCGATATTCAGGGGTAGGGTAGAGAAGAAGGACATTTTGCTTCACTGAATCCCCATATCTTCCTAAGAATCATTGGGAGAATGGATGCTAATGTAATTAGAAACCATGGAGTCATTCCCAAGTGGTCATTTATTTTAAAAATCATTTGCTTTCTCAAATATACAAAGAAATAGATTATCCCCATCTATTTTCCAAATTACGAGATAACGTGGGTCTAATGATCCTAACATATAAATAAGCTAAGATGGTTCCAGTGGTAAATTTCAAGATAATGATTATTTTTTATTTGTCATCATAATTATGTGATATCTATCGATTATCTATCTATCCATCTTTCTATCTATATGCATCTGTACCTACTAGCTAGCTAGCTAAGATAGATAGCAAATAATGTGAGAAATACAGAAAGTAATCAGATACATGAAATGTGAAAACCTTGGTGATCAAAGAGAAAGCAAGGTGGATTTGAAGCAAGATAAAGAAAAAATACCAGCTAGTAGAAAAGAGTTTATGCTATTTAAAATGCGTATCTGTGTGCACACATATAGCCACAAATGCACACACACACATATAATTACTGGTGAACCAAAGAAGTATGGTGTTAGACTTAATAGAGATTACAAACTAGTGAGCAAGAAGAGAAAACAAACAAGTGATATAACTGTAAGTGCTCTAAAACATATTAAGATTAAAAAGGGTAAAGTCATCTACATTTTATTAATCTTAAAAGAGAGGCACCTTATAAAGGGAAGTGCATGTTATCATAAGCAGGGTAGTAATAATGATATATTTTGGGAAATTGATGGTATGTTCTGCAATAGACAAGGGCTTTGATGTATCAGGAAGGAAGGGCCAAGAGGAAGGATAAAGACTATATGAGTAGCTTAATGTGAAGATGCAGAAGGTCTTGTGTGTTAGCCTATAAGGTTAGTATACATAGTGTGGGCAAAGGAAACCAGTAAATGATTTCAGGCAGTGACATTCCAACTTCATGTGTGCTAAGATCATTTTTGCCCACCAGGTGGGAAATGATTTGCGGTAATTAAGTTGAGATGTATGAGACCATTAGATGACTATTTCCGTAGTTTGGATAATAAATGATGTTCCTAAAACTGATTTCATATAGTGGGATAAAGGGTCACAAAGATATGTGAAGCAGAATGATGCAGATGACTTAAACAACTGGACATAGGGTAAGAGAGAGATAAATTATTAAATATAACCCCTTTACTCCACTGCTAAAAAGAGTAATTGAAAATCCCATATGATTTAAAGGTGCACATTAGATTTGGTGATATCCTAACATATAATTCCTGCTAAACAAAGACATTCTTGTTCAATTGCACCACTAATTGTACAAAAGTCCTGTGAAAAACTGTATTCTCATGCTGGCTTAAGAAGGTAATTTCTTATCTTATAACTACAACATTGAAGGCATTTTTCATTGAAATTACTGACTTTTGCCATAATATGTTATAGGAACTAATCAGTACTTTAAACATACACAGTTACATTTTTAAAAGTTTTGTTTTGGTTTTTAATGCACCAACTTCTAAGCAAGTACAAGCACAAAAAAAATATTGTATGTCCCACATAATGTGGGTGTTCTGACACTTCAGTAAAGTTAAATTAATTGTAATAAACAAAAATTGTCACTAAAGTTCTCAGTTTATACCATCTAATACTGTGTGAATACATTTTATTTCCAAACATTATAAAACAGCCAAAAGTATAATAAATTACTTACCTAAGCCCTTTGAGCATTTTTGCATAATTTACCAAAACAAATTGATTTTAGTGGAAAAGCTGCTAATTTACATGGGTAGGAAGTGTTTTCCTTGGTGTGATGAATTTAATTTCAATTTCCCTGTTTGCATGAGTTCACTCCAGTAATTCATCACTGTTACATTAAACTACAACTATGTTTTGCCTGAGTAGGCCCCTAACATTCAATATACATGAATGAAAATAAATTGTCCTCAGAGTTTGGTTATATATTTTATATAATACATGAGTGTTAAGGTATCTTTTTAAAAGAATCAACAATTTTTTAAAATAGAAAAACAATGACATGCATTCATTTAAAATTTGGGAAAAGCAGTTTTGTACCTTTACTAAACTTGATTTCAGGGTTTTGTTTTGTTCTGTTTTATGTTTTTTTTAAAAAGAAGGAGACACAGATTTATAAGACACTAAATATGCGCCAGCTTTTGCCAAGGGTAATTTACATTTGTCATATTATTTTTTCCTTTTGACATTGTTGCTAAATAAATAAATAAAATATAAAATGTTTATGGTTTAAAACAACATGAGCCAGGCGCGGTGGCTCATGCCTGTAATCCCAGCACTTTGGGAGGCCGAGGCGGGTAGATCACGAGGTCAGGAGATCGAGACCATCCTGGCTAGCACGGTGAAACCCCGTCTCTATTAAAATACAAAAACTTAGCCGGGCGTGGTGGCGGGCGCCTGTAGTCCCAGCTACTCGGGAGGCTGAGGCAGGAGAATGGTGTGAACCCGGGAGGCAGAGCTTGCAGTGAGTGGAGATTGTACCACTGCACTCCAGCCTGGGCGACAGAGCGAGACTCTGTCTCAAAAAAGAAAAAAAAAAAAACCAACATGTATATATCACACAGTTTATAAGGTTGAGAATCTGGGAGGAGCCTGGTCTAGGGTCTTACAAGGTCACAGTTAAGCTGTTGGCTGAGGCTTCATTCATCTCAGGATTTGACAGAAGCTGGATAATTATCTGCTAAGCTCACTCATGTGGCTGTTGGCAGGTGTCAGTTTCTCATTGACTTTTGGCCATAGACCTCTCTTCCTTGCCATGTGAACCTCTCCATAGGCAGCCTAAGTGTGCTCAAGGCATGGCAATTTGCTTTGCCAAGAATGTATAATCAGAGAGAGAACTAGCTAGCAAGACAACATCCGAGACAGAAACTACTATCTTTTATGACCTAATCTCGAAAGTGGCATACTATCACTTTTGCTGTATGCTACTGGTCACACAGCCCAACATCTTGTACAATGTGAGAAGAAATTGTACAAAGGCATGGATACTGTGAGGCATTCATAATCTTGAAGGCCGGCTCCCATGAGTATCAAGTTTATACATTTCAACAGCAAAACTAAAATGTCACAGGTAATATAAAAGAGTCTATACGAAAAAAAAACTTGTCTCTAAACTTGGCGATATCATCAGTGGTTCAGAAATGAAGTTGATCTCTTAACATGTAAGAACTGGACAATTACCATAATGTCATAGTCAAAATATATGATAATACATAAATGTTATCTGTGGAACAAACTCCTTTTTTAAAAATAGAAAAACAATGACATGCATACATTTAAAATTTGAGAAAAGATTGAGAAAAGACACCAAAAGATTTATAAGATTCCCAGAAGCTATATTTGAAACTTTTTAGTGACACTAGAAAAATGTGTCACCAATCACCTCTCCTGCATACAGGGTGGGGGTATATGTATGAAATTTCTCCACCCTTTTAAGTGGAGATACACACAGGATAAGGTGTTTGGAAAATGGGAATTGAGTCTCCACAACTCCCAGTTGGTCCATCCCTTGAGCAATGGTAACTAGAACACATTTTGATAATTGTGGTGGTAATAAATCTTGTCTCTCGGACCCCTTCACCTGCATGTCAGTAAAGAATTCTTTCAATTTTAGCTAACATATAAGTCGATTACAGTGTCTCAAACACATAATGGGTTTGGGTTCAGTAAGAACTTGATGTCAAATGCTTCTTCTTTTCAACTCTCTTGAACTTCACTCCAGTGTTTACATTTTTATAAGAAGTCCGTCCTGTGTGTTCCAGCTGCAGGCGTCCATTCCAGATTCACTGTAGCTATTCGAAAGGTGGTGTAGTACCAACCACAACTTTTGATTTTATTAGCAAAGTAAAAGCTTTCTTAATATTAAAGTTGACTTCCAATTCCATCTTCTTTGCCAACATTCACAACAACAACAAAAGTAATGATACTGGCTTTTCCCTTTATAGCATGTATTACGTGCCAGGTATTTTTCTAAGTACTTCACATATAATAACTCGTTTACATATCTAAGAGGTAGCTATTCAGATTATTCGTATTCAACAGGAGAAAGAACTGAGATACAGTGAAGTCATTCTGTGCCCCAAATCACATAGCTGGTGGATAGAAGAGACAGGATTTAAACTCAAGCATTTGCCTTCAAAATCCATACTGGTAACCATAATACTAGTAAAATATGTCACCAGTCACCTCTGCTGCAGACAGGGTGGGGCTATGTGTATAAAATTTCTCCATCATTTTAAGTGAAAGTAGACACAAGATAACATATTTAGAAAATGAAAGTTGGGTCTGCCAAACTTTTGTCTACCACAGTAATATTAACCACCCTGTGTTAGTCTATTAACCTTGTGTAAAGTTAGCTTTCTCCATATATAAAATGGTGAAAAAATGCATCCTTTTTTCTTTACTTATTTTGGGTCACACAAGTATTGCTTACTTTTAGGTTAAATGGAAACTGCAGTAATAGATATAAATTATTATTGTAATAGATATAAATTATATATAATAGATGTTTATTATAGAATATAGAATATAGATATATAGAATAATAGATATAAGTTATTCTAAAGTGTTATTATATTACGAAGATATAGTAAAAATATTAAGTGAGAGATGATTGTAACTCCTTAGTTGATTGCAAAATACATGAGCTTATATTGTATCAGCTTTAAAATTTTCAGTCCAACAAAAAAATGTTGTCATATCTTCTTGTAGTTCCTTATGTATGCCTCTTCTCTCTAATGTCAAGCATTTTGGTGTCTACTTGATAGAGACAGAACCAGTGAGGCATAAGGACTTCTTTTCCTCCAGAATGTTTTTATCTCATGTGCTGGTAACAGGCCAATCATGTGTTTGCTGAGCTCTCATTATAACTGGCAGATAAACATCCCCATCAAAACAAACATAGCATCACCTTTGCCCATTAAGTATGTATTGGGAGGCATCTTTTACATCTTTCAAACATTGAATGAATGGCTTTTGATAATCTTATTATTAATTACTGGGGCAAGAGAGAAATTATGGGAATGTGTGTTAAAAACATGAACCAAGATATTGGAAGCTGCAGTTATATATGATGCTCGCTGATCTATATTGTCCGTGTTAATGACCATGCCTTGACACTGAACAGAGAACCTTACATTCACAGACCTGATGTCATTAGAGCTAAGGTGTGATTACATACTCAATCGAATATGCCCAGTAAACAGAAACAGTGACACATAACCGCTTTATCTTATTATTAGACTCATTCATATGTATTATGGCATAGGGGTGAATCCATAGTGGCCTTCAACTAATCAAAGAAGATTTAGTGAGCTCTAATTTTATGCAGAACACTGCATTGCAAGAATACTTAAAATATATTTCCAACTCTACCAAGATAATTGAATAGTTTACTAATGATTTACTGGTCAGTTGATTGAGAATTAGACTAAACAAATGCAAAGTTCTTTGGGTAACCATTCAGTCAAAACTTCACTGAGTACCACTTTCCCCAGCCCTAAATGCTCAGATATGCAGCTCCTGTCCCAGATGAGAGTTCAGAATCTAATAGGGCGACAAACACATATGCATTTAATATGTCTGAAATGTCTGATGCAGGAGCAATTCTTAAACCAGACCTAACTCTAGGAGGAAAAACATCACGGGTATTACTACTTTCAATTATACCCTCAGTTCCAAATATAAAGGAGGTGTTCAGTGAACAATTATTGAATGGAAGGATTAATAAATGCGTCAAAAGAAGTAGTAAATAGTGTATTATTGGAGCATAGATGAGGGTGTTTATTTAATAATAGGGACAGTCAGAGAAGATATGTAAGAGAAGGGTTACGGTGATGTTGCCTTGACAGAGAAGGAAAGGTGCAATGAAGAAGTGTGGAGAAAATAACTGATACAATTATGCTCTGTGTCCCCATGCCGTTCTCCTATTCACTTATAATCCCTATAATCTTCATAATCCCCAGGTGTCAAAGTCAGACCAGGTGGAGGTAATTGGATCATGGGTGCGGTTTCCCTCATGCTGTTCTGATGATAGTAAGTGAGTTCTCATGAGATCTGATGGTTTTATAAGGGGCTCTTTCACCCTCGCTCCGGACTCTTCTCTTTCCTGTCGCCACGTAAGAAGGTCCAAGTTTTCTTCCCCTGTGAAGATGTGCCTTCTGCCACGGTTGTAAGTTTTCTGAGGACTCCCCAGCCATGCGGAACTATGAGTCAATTACACCTCTTTTCTTTATTAAATTACCCAGTCTCAGGCAGTTCTTTATAGCTGTGTGAGAATGGACTAATACAATAACCAAGGCTGAGAAAATGCATGTACTGGTACACACAGGTGAGCAAGCCCGTGCCAGATTGAAGAAACTGGATGCATTCCAGAAATGAGTGTTTCTGTCCCAGGCTGAAAATAATGGACTAGGTATACCTAATAAAGACAAGCAGAAATAAATAAAAATCCATACATAATGACTAACGTTCACTATTAATGAAAGGGTTCATTTTACATGAGGTTATAAACAGACAGCCATATCGTTTTATAATCAGAGGGTAAATAACTTCTATTTCTCTTTCAGTTAACCCTCATTAAATTCACATAGGATGCAGCATTTCACTGATGAGAAAAAGGCTGGGCAAGTATGGTAATGTTTAAACATGTCGTCAACAATTTTAAAAATGTAAGGTCAAAAACACATTTCTTTAGTCATTTGCATAATTACAGAATCACTTTAATCCTGCTGAATATGTTGTCCAATGAATATTTAAATATTTCCCCAAAACAATATCTAATGCAATCTTTATCAATAATATATCTTAGACACTTAGCAATAAAGGTGTCACACAAAGGAACTTTAAATTGCTAACATCTATAATATGCCTATTAAGTTTCAAAGGGATTGGGAAAATGGGCCATAAAAGATGAATAACAATAGGTTTAGAGTGATAAAGAAATCGCAATTTGGGGGCAGATGTGGAGAGGTCGAGGACAGCACTACAAATTAATGGCAATGTGTTATAATAACTGATACCACCAATAAATGTGTAAAGAGCTAACATCATAAAGAGTGAGGAACAAATGATCCCTAAGAATAGTAGGGAAAACTTCACAGAAAAAAATATTTAAATTAGTGAAAAAGATGATTAAAATTTCAAGACACAGAGGAAGAAAAGGGCATCTCCATAAAAGACTATCCCTTGTACACAGGATAAAGTCAGAGAAATGCAGATATTCAAGAGGAGTTAGTAATGTGGCTCAGGGGAACTATTGGGTGTTAAGATGTCTGAGAACAAGCAGAAAAATACATTAGCGTGTTTGATGTGTATCTATCTGCCTGTGATGACTTAGATACAGTAACCATAAGGAGCGGTTTAAGCAAGTTCTTCCTAGTCCTCAGTATCTCACACATCTGCTTGTTGTTAATATCTAGACAGTATGGTACATTCACTCTTGCAAGATTAAATCAGAATGCTTGGATTGGCACTGAAGGAGAGATGGTAGAGCAGCCTGATCTAGTCTTCATAGACAAAAGTACCTACACCACAGACAGGGAACGTGCTGGCCGTTGGTATTAGTCATATTAGTTTTATTTAAGAACGGCACAGCATTTCTCCAAGAGATATTACATGCTGATATTGAAAAAAATCAAATTTGCTAGTATTTTTATACAGATAACTAACATGAAAATGTTTGGGACAAATTTCTAGGTAAAAAGAACTGCCTGCAATAACTTAATCTGCACAAGACTTCTGCATCAATACATAATGAGATGGGTACTTGCAGAACGCTGTGTTTATTTAGCTTTGGCCTTATAAAGAAACAATAATTTGCATATTTCTCTCAATTAAGTATTATACTGACATACTTAATTAAAACTATAAAGGGCACTGAAAATGTTTCATTCTCTTAATGAAAGAGGAGACATATTACGCAGTTCAGAATGTCTCTGTATTTAATTTTCCCGGCTTTTTTTTTAACTGCTCAAACTGTGCTCTTCCTACAAATGTTGTCAATTAGGATGAAAAGAAGGAAAATTAAAGTCGCTCTTGAAAATGCACTTGTGTTTGTTTGTGACATCTGTATACGTTCACCAAATTGTGATTTGCATATTTCATGTGTAATTAAACTAGGAAAAGTGAGCACTGGAAAAGCTAGGGCAGTTTCACCCTCTTGCCAGTGTCTTCTTTGTTATTACTGGGGATTCATGTCTAAAGACCTCATCTCTTATCCAAAAACATCATACTCATTTTTTTTTTCTCAGAGAAATACTTTAAGGATTCCTTTAAATTCCCACTATGTATATTTGAATATATTTAAGGACATACGTAATGTGGCGCTGCTGGGACCATGAGTGCTGAGATAAACACGGTCTAACAAAATATATACTGGATTAGTTTCTGGAAAGATGAGTGTGAATCACAACCCTTCCAGTATAATTATGAAAGGTTCACATGGGCCACACTTATACCATTAATAAAATGAAAATAGCGACACATATTTCACTTACTGTATTATAAAACGGAGAATGCCAAACACTTCATGTACATGTAAGCATTTTGTAAGCTGTTACACATCAAACAAATAGAATAAAAATATTTTTCTGAGACTGAATTTTCCTGAAATGCGAGAAGAAAGAAAAAAATTAATGGTCCCTGGCCAAAAGAGACTTACAAGTCTAGTGAGAAAGATAAGTGTGTAAGCCACCCCACTTCAAGTTGAATAGAATGTGTAATATATTAGAGAAATAAAGCAAATACATAAATATGACAAATCTGCCTACAGTTCATTTCGCTTCTGTGAGAGGACTTCTTAGAGTAAGACTACTGGGAGTATATCAAGACTAGAAGAATAAAAATACATTTCCAACAAAGAACCAGGAACACTTTAAAGGAATTAACCTTTGATCCCAGCATTGAAGGAAACATGAGATTTTAATATTTTCAGAGAAATACATTGGCTAAGTCACCTGCCAGTGATCCAAGTTTCATTAGCAGTGAGTTTCCGTATACATAGCTAGGCTACTTCTGGTTCTTTGTCAGCTCCTGTTTGAACTGCCGTGAGTGGCCAACAATAAAACATTTTCAATGAGCTTCACCAAGAAAGAGGGATATTCTTAGATTATCTCTTTCTCACTCTTTTTTTCTCTCTCTTTCCTTCATCCCTCCCTCCTGTCAACCGCTGACAACCACAAATCTTTTTACTGTCTCTATATTTGTCTTTTACAAAATGTCATATGGTTGGAATCATACAGTATATAGGCTTTTCAGATTGGCTTCTTTTTTACTTAGTAATATGCATTTAAATTTCCTCCATGTGTTTTTATGGGTTGATAACTCATTTTTTTTAGCAGAGAATAATATTCCATTGTCTAGATATACCAGAGCTTATTAATCCAGTCACCTACTGAAACACATCTTAGTTGCTTTCAGGTTTTGGAAATTATGAATAAACCTTCTATTGATATATTTTCATATTTTTGTATAGACATGTTTTCAATTTCTTTGGGTAAATATCAAGGAGCTCAATTGCTGGATCACCTGGTAAGACTATGTTTAGTTTTCTAAGGAGCTCTCAAAGTGTCTCCAAAGTGTCTGTAATATTTTGCATTCCCACCATCAATAAACAAAAGTTCCTGTTGCTCCACATCCTCATCAGCATTTGTTGTTATCAAATATGTAGTGAAATCTCAGTGTTGTTTAGATTTGCATTTCCCTGATGATGTATGATGCGAATTATCTTTTTATATGTTTATTTATCATGACCGTATCTTCTGTGCTAAGGTGTTTGTTCAGGTTTTGACCTACTCTTTATTTGGGTTGTTTCCTTACTGTTGAATTTTAAGTGTTCTTTGTATTCATTTAAGATACTTTGTTTTCACAATAGTCTATTATCAGATGTATCTTTTGCAAATATATTCTCCCTGTATTTGACTTGCCTTTTTATTCTCTTCCTGGTGTCTCACAAAGCAGAAACTTTTAATTTTAATAAAGTTCAGCTTATCAATTACTGCTTTCATCAATCACGAAAGAACTTAAAAGAGAAGTAACATTCGACCCAGGAATCCCATTACTGGGTATATATCCAAAAGAAAATAAACCATTCCATCAAAAAGACAAATGTACTCATATGTTGATCGCAGCATTATTCACAATAACAAAGACATGGAATCAGCCCAGGTGCCCATCAACTGTAGATTGGATAAATAAAATGTGGTACATGTACACCATGGAATACTTCAAAGCCATAAAAAGAAAGAAACCATGTCCTTTGCATTAACAACAATTCAGCTGCAGACCATTATCCAAAGTGAATTAATACAGGAACAGAAAACCAAATACTGCATGTAATTACTGATAAATGAGAGCTAAACATTGGGTACTCACAGACATAAAGATGGCAAAAATAGACACCGGGGAATACAAAGGAGTGAAGGGAGAGAGGTGAAAAAATGTTGAAGCACTAATTATTGGGTTCTATGCTCACTATTTGTGTGACAGGATCAATTATACCACAAACTTCAGCATTGTGCAATATACGTGTAACAAACCTGCACATATATACCCTGAATCTAAAATAAAAGTTGTAATTATATTTTTAAAGTCATCATCAAGCCCAAAGCCATCTGGATTTTCTTCTGTTATCTCCTAGAACTTTTGCAGTTTTGCATTCTACAATTATGTTTGTAATGCATCTTGAGATTTGTTTGAGTATGTTTATGAAGGGTGTTAGCTCTAGGTCTAGATACATTTTTTAAGGTAGATGTCTAGGTGTTCTAGCAGCATCTGTTGAAAAGATTATCTTCTCTCCATCGTATCACATTTGTTCCTTTGTCACAGATCAGCTGGAAATATTTATGTGGGTCTATTTCTGGTCTCTATTATGTTCCATTTATCTATGTGTCTATTCTTCTTCCAGTACCACACCATTTTGATTATTGTAGCTTTAAAGTAAGTCTTAAAATCTAGCTGTGTCAATTCTCCAATTTTGCTCTTATCCTTCAGTATCTTTTTGGCTTTAGGTTTTTTGCTTCCCCATGAAAATGTCATGATCACTCTAATGTACAAAAAATTGCTGCAATGTTGATTGGGATTCCATTGTACCTAAAAATCAAGTTTGAAAAAACCGATGTATTAACAGTGTTGCATTTTCCTATTCATGAATATGGAATATATAGATTCTGTAGAACTATTTTAAAGTCTCAGTCTTTTACTGAGCCTTTTCTTCTGTACTGTGACTCTTTTATGTGTTTCTCATTCTCCATTTCTGCCCCTTAGGTGGTGTGCTAGTTCATTTGCATTGTTACAAAGAAAATCCTGAGACTGGGTAATTTATAAAGAAAAAGGTTTATTTTGGCTCACAGTTCTACAGGCTGTACAGGGAATATGGTTCTGGCATTGCCTTCTGGTGAGGGCCTTAGGAAGCTTCCAATCATGGTAGAGCATGAGAGAAAACCAATGTGTCACACAGCGAGAGTGGGAGCAAGAGAGAGAAGCAGAGGTGTCAGGCTGTTTAAAACAATCACCTCTCACATGACCTCAGTACTGCAGGGAGGGCACCAAACCATTCAAGAGACATTTACTCCCATTGCCCAAACACCTCCCACTGGGCCTGACCTCTAACATTGGGGATTACATTTCAACATGAGATTTGGAAGGACAAACATCCAAACACTGTCAGTTGGACATGATGACTAGTGTGAGCTGGAGTTGGGAGTTTCCCTTCCACCAAGCCAGTTAGAATCTGATAAAACCCCAGCACTGTGGACTCTGGTAAAATAGTTTCTCTTGAGGGCAGACCTTATTAAGAACAGAGTGATCTGGCTTATTTCAAAATAGTTTATTTTCTTCTTCCTTGGCCAGAAGCACAAGGGAAGTTTTCTTCAATATTTATTATGAAAGCCTGGTTGAGCTCCTGGACATACATTTCACAAAAGTGTGGAGATTCCTCTGAAGATTTTAATGCTCAGAATTTTCCACACCAAGCCCCCAGCAATTCATCAATTACGGGTTAGTCTTTCTTACACTGACATTGGTTCCATTAGAAGTTTCAGCTCCTGGGTTTCTGCACCAGTAACTTGAAATTTTCCATATCTGTCTATCTTTCTCTTTCATTTTTGGGGGAGTGGTTTTCCACTTGACCTGAATTCTCTTACAAATCTGAGAAGAGCTGTTGATTTTTCAGTTAGTTCAGCTGTTTACTTATTTTTGGGATGGAGTGGTGACTTTCAAGCTCCTTACATGAAAACCAGGGCCCAGAAGTCCATCAATCATCTTTTAAGGTCAAGTTTGACGTGGTTTGCATTTCTGTTCGTACGCAAATCTCATGTTGAATTGTAATCCCCAGTGTGGGAGGAGGGACCTGGCGGGAGATGACTGGATCATGGGGGTGGATTTCCTCCTTGCTGTTCTCATGATCGTAAGTTCTCAAAAGATCTGGCTGTTTAAAAGTGTGTGGCACTTCCCCCCTCTCTCTTCCTCCTACTCCAACCATGTAAGATATACCTGCTTCCCCTTTACCTTCTGCCATTATTGTAAGTTCCCTGAGGCCTCTCCAGAAGCAGAAGCCTGTACAGCCTAGACAACTGGAAGTCAATGAAACCTCTTTTCTTTATAAATTACCCAGTTTCAGGTATTTCTTTATAGCAATGCAAGAAGAGACTAATACAAAGTTCTTATTTTAGAAGAGTGAGATGAGGCAATTTTTGACTTAGTGATGAATATAAAGCAACTTCTTAATGTAACAGATTCTAAGTATTTTATCTTTCAATTAATTAATAACTGCAAATCACTTATTTTAGTTGATTAGCATCCATTTTTGTTTTCCCTTATTGGGCATATCTAAGCATTTGACAGGCTTGTTGAATTGAAATGAACTTTGAACTGTTGTTCTATATTTTTTTTCATATGAAATTATATGATGATATCTATCACCTTTGGTCCATCACTGTGCATTTAATGTAAGTGTGGAATGTTGTCATATCTTTCAAATGAACAATTCAAATTGGGAGCAGGATGGTCTAAGACTGGGGCACTAGACAAAAGAAAAGGAAAAGAGTGCCCTAGTTTATAATATTCAGGTTAAAACTGACAATGTATGGCCCATGCAAGAAGACAAGAAGCAGCAACACTAACAATCCAAGGGTGAAAGTTTATCTAACATATAGGATCAAAAGCATGAGAAGTGGCTGATACTTACATATAAAGAGTGAAGCAAACATGGGAGACAAACTTGATAGGCATATATCATAAAGATTCTGATTTACCTGTAGCTTTCAACTACATGAGGAATAGCAGCTTGAGGGTCACTGGACCATGTCTGTTCTTTGCTGCGCCTTGTCCATTATGTGTAATTTGAAACAACTGGGTTTTTTTGGAAAACTTAAAATTGATTTTCAAAACACTGTGGTCAAATTGCTTTAGATGTTGGGAAAACTTCTCTTAAACCCCAAGAATATGTTCTTACCTTCTTACCTAGGAAAACCTTGCTCTCTATTCTGAGGTAAGAGTAACACAAAATCAAAGGAGAGATTCTAAGAAATGATTATATTGGTGGTTCATGTTTGAAATTCATTAGATTCCTTGGTTCTTTGGGATTCCACCATAGACAGCAAGACAATAGTCATTGAGCAATTGCTATGACATAAGTAATGAGCAAAATGTTTTAAATGAAAAGCTCATTTAATACTCTCAGAGAATTAATGGAGAGACCAGAAATGAAACTAGAAGCTACTAGTTTCATTTCATACATTACCAAACTCAGACTTTGAGATAATCTTCCTAGAATCAAGATTTTCCTCAAAGAGTAAGAATACAGAGCTGAGTCAATATTCTACAATATTATATAGTTGGCTACTTGGTTACCTGATATTTCTGAGAGTTTTGATTAAAAAATGTGTAAAAGATTCTGATAGGACACAGGCTTTTTAAACTGCTTCTCATTCCTTCATCCAAACTCCTATTTCATAAGGTGCTACCTGCTTCCTTTGCCTTTTCTGAAACTCAAGTTTCTTATGTTCCAGGGTACCCAGGAGTTCTGAAGGGCATTTCACATTTTTAAGCAATACTGTCTGTTAGACATCCTGCAAAGTACACCTCCAAGGTAGTTCACACTTTAAATATTAGATTATATATTTTTATGACATCATATCTTTACAAGAATGCCACAAAAATAAATATGAAATAGGAAATGAGGTTGGTGATATAGTTAAATTCCAAGGTTTGAAAAATTGTACCTCATTTAATGGGCGCACAAACCCCATTAGCAGTTCATTGTGGTTAGTTAAGAATGAAATTAAAATGTTATATCTTGTTTCAATTCATATGCATTTTTTTAAAAAATGGCCATCAAGTCCTTAGGACAAAAGTACAGTACTTATTAGGTTATTTGAGCCTAACTCTGCAGTAATCTGAATTTTTATGTATTTCTTTTGGCATAGGGGCACCAAGAGATTTCTGACAAAGGGCATTAAAACTGAGAAAGTTTGGGAACCTCTGAATGCTGTAGGTGAGTATAAGTTCAAACTCGGGGCCCCAAAGGTCAAGTTATATTAATAGATAATTAACTATTTTTTGTTTGTTTGTTCGTTTTACTTTTTATTTATTTACCTTTTTTGGGACTTACACATATGTCCACAAGTCTTCATGAGTGTCAACCAAAGGGCATATGACACAACAGAGCAAATCTTGGACAGTAGTAAGTGGCAGGTGCGATGGGGGCATGTAGGTAGATTCCTGCTCATTTATCTTTTTTTTGGATCACTCTAAGGTGCGTTTTTTTTTTTTTTTGGTAGTCCTTTGAGATAAAGTTCTGCAGATCACGTAAGCACCTTCAGTAATACAATGGCTGTGTCTTCTTGAAGCTCTCAGCTTCATAGCTTTCCTTGACTCGGTTTTCATTCTCATCATCATTACTGTCCTGGTTTTTAATCTTATCAATACACTGTCATCACTGTAAAATTTTCTCCAATTCCAATTTCTAAATAAGCCAGACTAACACGGTACCGTCATCCACCTCAAACAACAAAAGTATTAATTGATAGTTATCATGTGAATTAATCCATAGACATTTGACTATAGGTCCTCAAAAATATAGAGATTACAAAAAGGAGTTTGAATGTAGAAAAATGAAATATCAGTTCCTGGAATCTTTCCTAAAATGTCCACACACGAGCACACTGACAAATTTTAGTAATATTAAGCTATGTTCTTAGATATCTCCATTTTATTTTTCTGAAAATCTTAGCAATATAGTCACTATTTGGCTATTTGGTTTAAAATTAGTCATCAAAATAATCAAGTAAATCAAAGTTAGAGTTATTTTACCCATCTGATGTTAAAAATGAGTCATATTTTAGTCTTGTCAGTATCAGAAACGTCCAATAGAATCAAAGCAGGAAAGCACCTAGCCTTTGTTAAGTGTCAAGTTCGGATACCAATGTAAGCGCTACAAGTATGTTATTACATTTCATACTCACGTATCACTTATGAGATAGGTACTACTATTCCTGTTTTATAGAGGACTGCACTGATATCAGAGTTGGTAAGTTGCACGATCTCACAACTAAAAAATGAGCAATTTGGTTTTATAGCTAGGTTCATCTATTTCAAAACAGGGTTAAAAAATGAGCACTTTAGGGGGTTATCAAAAAGTTACACACTTTAAGTTGCTAATAATCTGCTTACACAATGGTTTCTAATAATGAACTTCAAATGATATATTAGCTCATTCATTAAATGGGGGTTTGTTCTGCCACAGAGGGCAAAAAAGATACAGATGCCTCTCCTTATTCATTGCTCCCACAACGTTTCTTCACACTGAGTATCCCCACTGACTTCTGAGACACTGAACACTGAAAGCAGTAAAAGGACAAGATCAGATCTTGCTTTGCCCCCTGTTGGGCTCTTCTGAACTCTCTTGAAGCTCCTGGGGATTCAATATGAGCTCAGAGTTCAGTTCAACTTCACCAAGAGAAAGAATGTGCTAAGAATTTGGATCCCATAAAGGGTTCTTTCCCTATGTCTTCCCATTAGTGTTCATTTACTTAAAAGTCTGAAGTCAATATTTTTTAGCTTGAACCTTCAATCATCAGTCAATCTCTCCTTTCTTTTCTTTAATCTAAACACCCATCTGAACTGATGTGCTATTGCAATGGCGTTTATCCCCAATTCTTTCAGAAATCTATTTGGTTAATGATTCTGATTCAAAAGCCATACTGTTAACAACCACTGATATTTTCCTTTTCACATCTCAGCTTTCAGAAGTATTCAAATAAAATGATTTGATTTCCCAAATGACAATAAAAATTCTCTTTACAAATATCAACTGAATTTTCAGAATTTTGTCAGCTGATCTATTATGGTGTGTGTCACCAAAGTCATTAACACAGTGTTTGAAGCTCATACTCTTTGGGTTGTCAAAGGTGTCAAAGATTTTTGTAGATAACATTCAATAAACTGACACACATTCCTTTTGATTATCATATAAATCACATTGACCATCCTCTATGAGAGGTATATGCTCTGTGTCACTGCTCCTCTCTCATATTTTTTTTTCCTAACTATAAATCTTCCCTTTTCTGCCTTTGAATTCTGGATTTGATGACACCAAGACAAAACAGATTAGTTTATTCTCGTGATTAGCACATTGATAAATAGTAGCTATCACGAGTTTCACGAATGAATTAGCTGCTCTGTGTACGCACATATGTCTTGATGATTATCATGCCTACTGTTATTCCTTTGTTTCACTTATTTTATCCTCAAACATAGACACCGTGCAGGAAGGAACCAGCAAGGAGGATGTATTTTTAATATAGAAATAGCCTAATAGGAAAACAGCATGAATTTAAACCAAAATGAAAACTTACCCTTACCACCTCTACCTTGCAGAATTTCATTAACAAAAATGATCTACAGGACTTAAAAGAGAAGTGATATTACTGAAATTAGCACTATATGTTGTAGGCTCTTAAAAACATATGTCTGCTGAGATGTGGTCAACCTGATTGTCAGGCCATTGAGGAAGTAAAGGAATAACAAGAAAAGAAAGCACAGAGTGTGGGATCATGGAGACCTTGGAATTTATCCCATGTGGTATTCCTCCAAGGATTCCACAGAGTCTCTAGTGACCTCAGGAGTATGTGCAGTTTGCTCCAACACTGAAAACTTTAAGAATAGACAGGAATTTAAGCAAACTCACAAGAAAAAAAAAAAAACATTAAAAAGTGGGCAAAGGATATGAGCATTTCTCAAAAAAAGACATACATGCGGCCAACAAACATACAAAAATAGCTCAACATCACTGATCATTAGAGAAATACAAATCAAAACCACAGTGAGATACCATCTCATGCCAGTCAGAATGGCAGTTATTAAAAAGTCAAGAAACAACAGATGCTGGCGAGGTTGCGGATGAATAGAAACGCTTTTATACTATTAGTGGAAATGTAAATTAGTTCAACCATTGTGGAAGATAGTGTGGTGATTCCTCAAAGATTTAGAACTGAAAATACCATTTGACCCAGCAATCCCATCACTGAGTATGTACTCAAAGGAATATAAATCATTCTATTATAAAGATACGTGCACGCATATGTTCATTGCAGCACTGTTCCCAAGAGCAAAGACATGGAACCAGCCCAATCAGTCAATAATAGATTGGCTAAAGAAAATGTGGTACATATACACCACAGTATGCTATGCAGCCATAAAAAGGAATGAGATCATGTCCTTTGCAGGGACATAGATAAGGCTGGAATGTATTATCCTCAACATACTAATGCAGGAACAGCAAGCCAATCATTGCATGCTCTCACTTATGAGTGGGGGCTGAACAATGAGAACACATGGACAAACGGAGGGTAACAACTCTTACTGGGGCCAGTCAGGGGAGAGTGGTACGGGGAGAGCATTAGGGAAAGAGCTGCTACATGCTGGGCTTAATACCTTGGTGATGGGTTGATAGGTGCAGCAAACCATCATGGCACACGTTTACCTATGTAACAAGCCTGCACATCCTGCACATGTACCCTGAAACTTAAAAAACAAAAATAAATAAATTTGAAAAAAACAAGAATAAATATTTTAGATCATACTACCAGGTTTCAACCTTACCTTTACCACTGTCTAGATCTGTAAAATGAAGTAAGTTACTCTGTTTTTGAAACTCAATTTTCTCATCTAATAGTGAAAATAATAATAACTCAGAGGTTTATTTAGAGTATTAAATGAAAAGATACATTTGAAATTATTGGTCTATTGAAAGCAACATAGTTTGCACTCAATAAATGTTAGCCTTTCATTATTGTTTTTGTAAATCAGTTTATATTTACATGCCTTTCTATTATTGACTCTTTCTCTTGCTGTATTTTTCTTCTTTTTATGACTCCAAAATACAGAATGCTTCAGGGAAAATAAATAAATAAATAAATATTTTTCATTGAATTTCTCATGTTTCCCATAAAAGAGTCCTTGCAGGCAGACTTGGTGTACAAGTCACCTTGTAAGCTTACAATCTGTTTGCCCCACCTTCTGCCTTAGTTACATTATAAAACATGGTCCACTGAATTGAAGCCATGCTCATAGAGCCACATGGCAGAAAGCATTGTCTCTTGTGTGTGAGGTATTGCCTCTGATTATTTCTCTCAGGAGAAAGGACCAGAAGTTGGAACTTCACAGATGCCTCTGTAATGCAGTCATCAATCCTGTTGGATGACAAATATAATTACTGCAGACATTCAACACACTGATTATATTAATGAGAAGTTATACAGCCTTCTTCCAGTACTTTTGTGAAGCCTTACTTAAAACATTTCATCTTAAAAAAAAAAGCCAAGATCTATGGGGCATATCCTCAATGGGTTTTGAAGAGGGAGCCCTGGAGGAAAATAATAGTGTAGAAGGAGAAAATGTTACCAAAGATAAAAGTTAGTTAGTCTCCCCAAAGGAAACAAACAAACACACAAGCAAAAATAGGTCTAGAGCAGAACCCAAAGTGGCCTTTATACAGTCAAGTCAATCTATCAATCAATGGCTTTCCTGGAACCAGATCAATACCAGGCTAAATATTTATTTGATGACAAAGACTGTGTGTGTGTGTGTGTGTGTGTGTGTGTGTGTGTGTTTGTAGAAGGTGATAAAAATGGGTAAAAGGAAAGTTTTCCTGTAGTGTTATCCCTAAAAAATTACTATAGAGCCCAATTACTTTAGACCCTATATTTGTTGGAAAGTATCTATAAAATCATTTTTTAATATAGAAAAAAATCTAGCATCCAGGAACTAAGACAAAGACCAAGTATCACATATTGCAAGTAAAAATGAGCATCACCATGTCACATACCTAACTCCAAATTTCCCTTACTTGCCTCAGATTGATTTCTTTGTCTTTCTGTTTCTTTGTCTTTGAATTTCTTGATGAAATTCTGTTCAAGAATTTTGTAGTTACAAACATCAGGTAAACATGGAGATAGAAAGATGATCATGCATTATTTCTTAAGTCACCAGTAATGTAAAGAAGGCAGACTTGTAATGATTCAGAATAATTTGATTGAGGAATATATAGGATACTGTGGAAGCAGGGTGAAGATCTCATGTTTGAAATCAGATGTGTTGGTTATGTGCTTGTTTAGATTTTGTTTTCCCAAGAAAACATATTTTTTCCTATAGTTTAACTTGGTACTACTTTGCTTACACGACTTGGATTGTTCAAAAATGAACAGTCTTTCATTTGATTACTATCATTTTAAGAATGTGTAAGTAACCAAAACAGGTTTTAATACCTTAGCAATTTTAATACATAGATACTGTAGAAGGGAAAAGGTTCTTTTTTTTCTTGGAATGTTACATGGAGAAGTATTGAAGTTGGAGCTGACAGTGGCAGTCTTAGTCAAATGCAGACAGTTTCTTTTCGGAATATAAACATTAGAGAGTCAAAGAGATATGAAAAGGAGAGAGAGAGAAAAAGGAAGGAAGAAAGGAAACTTGTACCAAACCATATCTGGTTTTCCCATTGATATAAAGTCAATAATACCTCTATTTTCCTAGAAGTCTGAGCTGAGTATCAGAAATTATCAGTCACAAGTGTTCTGGCTATAAAAACATTGACACATTATTATTAACTAAAGTCTAGACTTTCTTTGGATATCACAAGTTTTCTAACAGTGTCTTTTCTGTTCCAGAATCCAATCCAGACTACCATATTACAATAATTGAGCTTTTAAAGAATACTACACAATACGTTCATACCATACAGGTACAAGTTACCACAGTAAATTGTTATTATTAATGCCACCCATATCCAAAATCTCAGGTTCCTTTCGTCACAGAAATAGGATATTTCAGTGCCAAATTATTTGTTGTTTGTCAAAGTTCTGAGCATATGCACACAATTTAAAAATATGTCACATAATTAATCTGATGTCTATTTATTAGCAATTTGTTAGTGTTATCAATTAAAATCTGTTCCCATTGGAAATACTTTCTTGAACAGTCAACATCACATTATCAAGTATGAGAGAGTGTGAGAAACCACTTTGGCAAACTTCCTCCTATTCATGATAGAATCCCATAACTCAGATCTTAATAGGAATGGATTTAAATTTGCGGTCATTAAGGCATGTCTCCACTTTGTATGAGGGTTTTAATTTCATATTTGTCATTTAGGAAAACTGATTTGTATTTTAATGGGAAAATCACTAGGTAAACTTTTGGAACATTTCACCTAGAGGTTGACAGGAACGTCAAAAGAAGTGAGTTTACAACTTTAAAAATGAATGATTTGGACTCTATAAACTATAATTGCTTAATTTTTTCAAATTAGATACTCTATCGGAAATTAAACCAGATTTGAAATCTCCCTGCATGTAAAGAGCATTATAATGCACTCAATTTTCAAAATGTGATAGGTGGTTACTTTTCCAATCAAATAAAGATATATGCTTTATTCATATTTAAAATACACATTTTGTAAGTCTTTTCTATCAGTATTACAAACTATATCAAAAATTGACTTTGTCTCTTATTTTTATAAATATGCTTTTTAAAATTATTTTGTCTACAAAGTTGTGTATGTGTCGTGTTTCACATCAGGAGTTCAAGAGAATTCCTGTTGTGTAAGTATGCATTTATTGAAATGATTTCTTTTTTTTTGGTACAGTGAGAAATATTTTAGCAACAATAAGAAACATAAAAAAGGTAGTTTCAAATGAGTCAGATATAAGCTATTGACCAATTTTCTAAAGCAATTTTCTAATACCCCATGAAAACATTGGGTTTTAACATTCATTAGGAGAAAATTAGTCATCAGTATAAAACTAGAAATTAAAAATTTCTTTAATTATCTAAAGTAAGATGTTTTGAAAGAACTTCAGGCACTTGGATACATTATTTATACATTTCGGTTTCCCCGTAGTATCTATATCTTAAGTCTATCATAAAGATTATCTGGAATGATAGTTGTGAAGTGCCTAGCATGGCTCCTGGCAAGCATTTGATTAACAGAAATTATGTTTACATGTTTCTCCATTGTGTGAATATCACTTATTAGGTCAACTGCACATATTACATCAGGTCCAGGTGATGCAAAGGACACTACTTCATTCTTAATTTTGACACAACAGTCTGTACATTTCCACTTTTTTGCTAGATACATATTGTTCCAATAATGTTTTATTATAGCATTGCCCCTCTGATACAGCATATAGTTTAGGGACATGTTTTGCATTTAGCTGTGTAGTATCTTTACACTTCTTTTATCTGGAAGTGATTCTCAGCATTACTGCACCATTCATGACACTGACACTTTGAAAACTACAGGTCGATTATCTTACAGACTGTTCCTCAGTTTTGGAGCTGTCTGGTGCTTCTAGAGATGAGATTCAAGTTGTGGATCCCTTGCCATCTTATGGTTCAAATGAGCCAGAATCCTTTCTCATGTATCACACACATTCAGGAGTAGATGGTATCTGGCTGTCACTCAAAGCAACATTTATCATAATCCTCAACTCATTGTCAGGCTTCTCCACTGCATACAACTATATTTGACTTTCCACATAATAAGCAGTCTCCAGGGAAACTTTTTGAGATGAGGCCACACTGGTATCATCAACCCTCACTCCCCATGACAATTACCTGGAACAATTTTAACCATGAGAATTGCAGAGTAGCAATTTTCCACCTCCTCCTCTCTCATCACCTTGAAGAGTTGAAATGCCACTGTCAGAATGTGTTCTCTCTTTTTCATTGTTTCCTTTCTTATATACAATTTATCTGTCAATCTTTATATCTATCTGCTTATTGTCAAAGCAAAATCACACATTCCCCTTTTATTTAAGAGGTTATAATCCGTCACCGTCTTTATCTATTTTGATGACAAAATTATTCAGATTTGGCTACAGAGGCCCCTTCGAGGCATCTCTTGTGTCTTTTTGTTATGTCCCCATCATTTCTGGATCCGCTGGCATAACTAGATGTCCCAGGCTCATTTTGCAATTTCGTTGTCCTCGGTCCACAATCTATTATGTCTTGAGGATTTCTGGTTTCTTTTGGTAGTGAGTAGAAACCAAATTCTGAAATCTTAGAAACCAAATTCTGAAAACTAGATTTGCTCATTACTACCAGAATTAGGGTCGTTTCTAAGCCACTTCAGTGAATAGGAAAAAAATGCAACATAGATAATATAAACACATATAATATACACACACACAATCATGATTATATATATTTGTAGACACAGATATTTTCTTCTTTGGTAAACCACAGCTTTTAACAACAATGCTTTAGCTCATTAGTTCAATTGTACAGTACTTGAAGGAGTTTCCAAATTTCTATACCCCCAAAATTACAAAAATTAAGCATACTAAGAAAAGTGAAAGTTTTTTTAAATTTCGTTTTTTAAGGAGGACTTTTTCCTCATTATTTTTTACTTTTTTCCCTCTCTTATAAACAAAAAGCAGCATACAATATATAATTTTGGGCACTTTTCCTTCTCAATTGAACAACACATTTTAGAAATCACTTTCTATTAGTAAATAGACATTCTCATTAGTTTCAAGGCAGCACTGTACTACATGGTGTACAGTACATGATGTATAGAAATAATTTGTTCAAGAAATTTCTTATGTTTGGGCATTTAGGTTATTTTCAATGTGTTGCACTCACATATAATACTGCAGATAATAACTTTGTACATTGTACAATTTTTTTATATTGCTGCAAGTGTTTCTTCAGAATAAATTCTTAGACATTCGATTGCTTGGGCAAAGGACAAATGAACATATAGCTTTGTTAAATGTTGGCAAACTCTTCCTATAAGTGTTTTACCATTTTGCATGTGAAACATGTGGGAGAACAGCGCAGGTTCTCTATATTCTAAACAAGACAGTACATTGTCAAGCTTTTGGAGTCTGGCCAATCCAATGGGTGAGATGCAATATATCAATGTTTTAATTTGCATTTCTCTTATTACATGTGATATCTTATCTATTCATATGTTCAATGCTTATTTTAATATCTTTATTTGAGACTTGTTTGTGTTATTGGCCCACTTTTCTATATGATTTGTGAGCTATTGGTTTCTTAATATTTAACTGTTCTTTATATATGAAGGTTATTTTGTCCTTGTCATTCTCTTCATTTTTCCCAAGTTATTAAAGAATTTTGCCCTCTGCTGCTCCTTCCTTCCCTGCCAACTTCCCCTCCTCCTCTTAGGTCTCTGATTCATTTAGGGTTTTTTCTTGTGTATAATGTGAGGAATCGATTGAATTTAATCATTTTTCTAATTGCTCTCTTGTTTCTCCAGCACTATTTTTAAAAGTTCCACTTTGAGTCAGTGCTTTGAGATATTTAGCTATGCTGGATTTTGTACTCCGTTATGTATTCTTCTGGATGGTATTCTGTTTCACTCTTTTGTCTGCTTTTGTGAAAATACTACATCTTTTTAATTTAATTTTATTTTGAAGAAGTTATCAAGCAGATTTTAATATGTGACAGGATCCGTCCTTAATTATTCTGTGCAGGTTTTTTCTAAAAGTTTTTGTGTGCTTATTTCTTCTAAGTGTGGTATAGTATCAACTTACTACTCTAAAGAAAAAAAAATATTGATTGTATTTTTAATGGAATCAAAATAAAATTATAAATTAAACCAAATTAGGGAAAACTAAAATTGTGATGTTTCAAGACATTTAAACTAAGAGCAAGGGACATATCGTTCCATTGGCTCAAGTCTACTTTTGTGTATTTCAAGAGTGGTTTATGCTACACACATGCACACACGTAGACTATGGAGATATGATATGTGTAATTGCCCAATGGACTTATTTTACTCACCAGCCAGAAAAGCCCATGTACTGAGACACTCTTATTGCAATAAAGAAATAGTTTAATAAGTACAGAGCAGGCTACATGGGAGATTGGAGTTCCATTATTACTCAAGTCAGGCTCCCCAGAAATTCACAGGCTAGGTCTTTTTAATGGTAGTTTGGTAGGCAAGGGCCTAGAGAATGGGAAGTGTAGAATGGTCTACAAAAGATTGGGTGGCTTGGGGATGAAATCAGAGGGACTCGGAGCTTTTCTTTTTTGGCTGAGTCAGTTCCTGGGTTGGGGCCAGAAGACCGGTGGAGCCAGTTAACTGGTCTGGGTGGTACCAGCTAGTCCATGAGAATGAAGGGTCTGAAAATACCTCAAACACCAATGATAGATTTTACAACAATAATGTTATCTACAGGAGCAACTGGGGAAGTTAGGATTCTCGTGGCCTCTGGCTGCTTGACCTCCAAGACATAATTTCTAATGTTGTGGTTAATCTGTTTGTTTTACAAAGGCAGTCTGATCCCCAAGCAAGGAGGGAGTTAGTTTGGGAGAGGGGCTGTTATCATTTTTATTTCAAAGTTAAAGTACAAAGTAACTTCCTCCCATAATTAGCTTGGCCTATGCCCAAGAATGAACAAGGACAGCTTGGAGGTTAGAAGCAAGATTGAATCAGTTAGGTCACATTTCTTTCACTTTCATAATTTTCCTAGGTCAGATTTTTCTGTCATAATTTTTGTAAAAGGGGCTTAAATGTGTACAGAGTTTTTCTACCTCTCTCTCTCAACCACCTCAAATAGGCATTTCCATTACATGTGTCTTTTGTTGTAATGAATAACACATTGAACTAAGTCTGTGACAGTTCTAGAAAACATTTAATATTGACAAAATATCTACAACCCACCACAAATGTTACCACATCCTTTACATTATTCTAACTATGATTCTTCCTTTTTGCCATCAGACAAGTCATTTCTAAAATGGAGATATTATACCGAATAATCTGAGTTCTGTGGTGTTAAACGAGAATCCTTCAACACCACAATTCTTGATAATGTTCCCTTTAGTTCATTATTTACTTAACTTCTCAAATACTTTGTACTAAAAGGCTTACAATATTAGGAAGAGTATTTTTATAATTGTTAAACTATTGCCTATTTTGCTATTGAAATTAGTGGCTAGATTTCAAATGCGTGTTTTGTTTAATTCACTAAGAAGATGGGTGGCATTTTATGTTTTTAATTATAAAGATGGCCTGTAGGGAAATAGCTAATTATCCTAAACATCCTTAAAAACTCCCAAAAGGAAATACAGAAAACCCTATTTCAAATGCATCTGTTAGAATAGCTTAAAAGTCTTTTGACAAACTCAAGGTTCATCACAATGGTGGGATTTATTAGGACCCTTTATGGACATGCTACACAAAGAAAAAGCAGTATTATCCAATGCAGAAACCTGTAGCTGCAAGAGAGGGAAATACCATTTAAATGCAAATCTTCTAATCCAGGAGATTCACTCTCTAAATAGAAGTGAGTCTTCAGGGTGACTCATGAAGTTAGCAATATATGACCATTCTTCCGGGATTACTTATTTTAAGAAATTTAATAATCTGCTTTATTATGTGAGGAAACCACATTTCTACCACTTATCTCCCAGACTTTTCACAGTGACTGTTGCTTATAATATGTGGATTTCCTGGTTATTAAAAGTTTCAGTGGCTCCTTAAGTTATAAATCAGGTACCAAAAATCTCCAGTTCTAGCTACATTAGTAAATGGTCTATGATAATTACATAGTATATATTCTTCAGTCACAATTATTGGAAACGTATTGAAGAATAGCATCTTACAAAGACGCATGAGTACGAATATTTGAGATAATAATCTTTCATAAGAACATCTCTGTTACTGGAAGGGGATCTGGATCCAGACCCCAAGAGAGGGTTCTTGGATATTGTACAAGAAAGAATTCAGGGCAATTCCACACAGTAAAGTGAAAGCAAGTTTATTAAGAAAGTAAAGGAATAAAAGAATTGCTACTCCACGGAGTAGCCCAAGGACTGCTGGTTGCACATTTTTATGGTCATTTTCTTGAGGATATGGTAAACAAGGACTGAATTATTCATGCCTCCCCGTTTTAGACCACATAGGGTAACTTCCTGACATTGCCACGGCATTTGTAAACTGTCATGGCGCTGGTGGGAATGTAGCAGTGAGGACAACCAGAGGTCACTCTTGTCACCATCTTGATTTTGGTGGGTTTTAGCTGGCTGCTTTATTGTGACCTGTTTTATCAGTAAGGTCTTTATGACTTGTATCTTGTGCCAACCTCCATTCTCATCCTTGGACTTACAATGCCTTAACCATCTGAGAATGCAGCCCAGTAGGTCTCAGCCTCACTTTATCCAGCCCCTACTCAAGATGGAGTTGCTCTGTTTCAAATGCCTTAGACAGTTCCACTGCAAGATATACACCTATGAACTTTTTCCACAGATTACACTGTATATACACTTAAAAATTACCATATTCTATGGCATAGATAACTGTTTGTAAGCTATGTTTGTGATGTTGTTCCAGAATTTTGGTTTGTAAGAAGCAGCCATCTTCAATATCCATAACTTTTATGATACTCACTTGTAAGTAATCAATGACTCAATCTCTTGGTGATGTCAAAGAAAAAGATATAAGGTGTAAAGGAAATTTATTTCTTAATATAAGTTTTACTTTTGGTCACATAATTAGGATTGGAAGGTCTGAAACTGACTGATTTCCTCTACTAAAACCAGCGTCATGCTTTAAAAATCTCCAAGAAACAGAAAAACCGTATGAGTTTATAAATTAGTTTACATTCCTTGAAGGATTATAGGCATGTGTCTGGCTAGGTAATGAAGTGTTTCAGTGAAATAGGGCAGAAAGGGATTTCAGGTCAGAATCATAGCATATGCAAGTCAAGGGAGGTTTAAAAATCAGATATGTTGATTGAGGTATGTTGGTGAGGACATAGAAGAAAGGAAACCTTTGTACCCTATCGAAGGAAATGTAAATTAATATAGCCATTCTTATTCTGGAAAACAATATGTAATATCCTTGAAAAATTAAAACCAGAACTACCATATAATCCAGCAGTCTCCTTACAGAGTGTATATATGCAAAGGAAATGAAATCTATTATCTTGAAGAGATGTCTGCACTCTCATGTTCATTTTTGCATTATCCATTATAGCAAAGAAATGAAATCAACCTTAAGTGTCCATCAGTGAATGAATGGATAAAAAAATTGTGGAATATATACATGGTGGGATGCTATTCACCTTTAACAAGGAATGAAATTCCGTCATTTGTGATAACATGGATGAACCTGGAGGACATTACTTTAAATGAAGTAAGCCAGGCACAGAAAGACACATTTTACATGGTATCACTTCTGTATGGAATCTAAGAAAGTAGAACTCATAGAAACAGAGTGAACTGGTGATAACTAGAGGCTGAGCGGTGGGATGAGTGGAGAAATGTTTGTCAAAGTATATAAAAGTTCAGTTAGGAAAAATAAGTTCAAGAGACCTATTGTATATCATGGTGAATATAGTTAATAATAATAATAATATATTGTACGATTGAAAATTGCTAAGAGTATATTTTAACTATTTTCACCACAAAAAAAAACTATGTAAGGTAATACATATGTTACATAGCTTGAGTTACTCATTCCACAATGTGTAAATACATAAAACATCATGTTGTCCACCATAAAAATATACAATGTTTACTTGGTATATTAAAATAAATTAAAAATAAACAGATTTGATGAAGACAAATGACATAGAGGACAGAGGCAGGCAGAGAAGAAGGAAGTTGAGAAGGAAGAGACTGAAAGCACGTGTTAGGTTCTAATTATGTAAGAAAATGTCTTTGAAATCTTAATCTAAAATTTTTACAATTGACTATTCTGAAGGAATTTTTCTTTACTCACTGTTTTTCTCAGAGAATAACATGATATGTATTGTAGGAAGATAACTTTGTTCTAGGAGCAAGTGGAATAAATTATAGAGGGGAAAAACAATATTTAGGACACCAATACAATCACTAGGTCATAGATTATGGAGTCTCACCATAGCTATTGAGATTGTGAAAAATGACTTGAAAAATAAATATGGTGGGATTAAAAGCATTATGCAAATCAATATAGACAGAGAGAAATCAGAGACATTTCTTTATAACTTTGAAGACTAGGCAGATGGTAGCATTATTTG
Source organism: Homo sapiens (assembly GCF_000001405.40). Classification (NCBI taxonomy): domain Eukaryota; kingdom Metazoa; phylum Chordata; class Mammalia; order Primates; family Hominidae; genus Homo; species Homo sapiens. The sequence goes on along the minus strand of NC_000016.10, from coordinate 63,320,555 downwards.
CTAAGTTATATGCTCGTTCATTAAAGCTTTATATTGAGGACCACGTGAAAGGTCTGTAGGAGGGGGCAGGGAAGTTTGGCATGCAAAGAGTCAGGTTCCTACCTGTGTAGAGTAAACCAGCAGGTTAGCAGCCTATCTGAGTTTGTAGGAGAGCAGAGATGTCTGCACCCATGTCCAGACTACATTATCATCAATTTATAAATCAGATTTTCTGCCTATTATAATTATCTGAAAATATACTTTAAAATGTATACCAATGCCCTAGACAGCTTTCTAGTGATTTTGAATTTACCCACATGTAAGTCCTTGGTATTTTTCTTATAAATTCCTCACAGTTTCTAATAAGTTTCTAATACTCCGAATGAGAATCACTGGTATAAACTATAAACAGTAACTGAGGAGAGTAGACACCTGTTTTATTTACTCTCTTTTGCGATCTTCACCTGCATAATTATTTGTTTAATATTTGTCTCCCTCACTATGACATGTAATAACAGAGACCAGATGTAACGTAGACACAGTTTTTTTGTTTGTTTGTTTTTTGAGACGCAGTTTCGCTCTTGTTGCCCAAGGTGGAGTGCAATGGCACGATCTTGGCTCACTGCAACCTCCGTCTCCCAAGTTTAAGCGATTCTCCTTCCTCAGCCTCCCAAGTAGCGGGGATTACAGGTGCATGCCACGACGCCTGGCTAATTTTTTTGTATTTTTAGTAGAGACGGGGTTTCACCATGTTAGTCAGGCTGCTCTCGAACCCCTGACTTCAGGTTATCCGCCCACCTTGGCCTCCCAAAGTGCTGGGATAGACACAGTTTTATTTCTTGGAATCCATTACTGTGAACAGGTTAGGGTAAACTGCTCACTCTCTCACTCATTCACTCATAATATCTTTTGAGCAAGGCTTGTGGATAACTGCTGGGAAAATGATGGAAAGTAAGATCCTACCCCATCCCTCACCTCACGGAGTTTACAGTTCTTTACATACAGAAAGAATGAAGGAAGCAACGAAAGAAAAGAGGGAGAAAGGAAGAAACCTGAAGTCAATATATATTCCGCCAAGGTTATGTTCATTTTTATATCTTATGACTTACTACAGATACATGGGATTTCAACATTATTGAATAAATGAAAGGCACATTTGGGGGACAAACAACGTGTGTGTGTGTGTGTGTGTGTGTGTACATGCAGTTTACTGTAAAATCCACCCATTAGCTTTTTACATATTTTTTTTCCTTTATGGCTGATCTGACAAGAAGTGTTAATAATCTGAATAAGAGGATGATGTTAACTAAGATGCATATGTTTATTTTTAACAGGCAAAATAACTTCTGCTAAGGACACTAATAATTCATGTTTCTCACTGTTTGTTCCCTAGAGGAAGCTGATTATTGTGAAATAGAGCAGAATCCTTTCTGTTTAGAATAGCAAAGTAGGAATGGTTAAATTATCCCAGGTTTCTTAAAAGGTGTAGATGCATATAAGTCATTTTAGAAGGGTAAATCTGCCAAAATTTCAAGAGTTGTGTTACGTAGAGCATTGGAAATGATTGGTTCGAGTTAAATTCTGTATATCTAACAACAATGCTTCTTTGGCCAAACTTCAGAATGAACTGTGTGGCATATAGTGTGATGACTATTGAGAGCTTCTTTAGAGCTGGATATGAAAGCAATATAAAGTGCGTAAAGGTTTGGCACATCTTTCAACAGAAAAGCAATATAAACATCTTTGTGGGGGCCAGGCCCTTAGAAAAAGAATATATAAATTTAATTGAAAAGTTAAAGAAAATACAGAAAATAAAATTTACAAAAATCATACTTGAGATCACAGAATCAGAATACCTGTGACCTGAGAAAAGCCTTTGAGAGTTTATCCCTACATGTTCAAGGGTTTTTTTTTTAATATATATTTTTTAATATATTTTTTCTATCAGTTTTGTTGAATTTGAATTGACATGTCATAAAATCCACAGTTTTATTTGTCTCATTCAATAATTTTTAGTAAATATAAAGAGTTCTACAATCATCACCCTAGTTAAGTTTTAGAACCTTTCAATCAACCCCAGAGATTCCATGTGTGTATTTGCTGACAATCTTTGTTTCCACACCCAGCCCCGATAACCACTAATCTACCTTCTCTCTCTATGGATGTGCCTATTCTGGATATTTTCGATAACGGAATCTTTCAATGCTTCGTCATTTGAGTGTGGCTTCTGTCACTTGGTATAACAAATTAGGCTCATGTGCAAGTCATTCTGGTTTTTTTGTTGTTGTTGTTTACCTTTCTTTTGCCAAATAATATCCAACCACACCAACCCTTTGAATTTAAAGGTGAGGTAACTGAGATTAAGAGAGGCAATGTAACTACATCAAATTCCCACAGCACGTCTGCGGCTCTTATTTTTCTTCTCTGGATATGAAACTGTCCTCAGGCACTGGACGCTAGACAACCACCCTGACTTCATCCTAGCTGGCTTTGCTTACCGGGGAGAGACATCACAATATTGAACATGATATTTTGTTGTAGTGCAACTGTCACTTTGCTAAGCCAGGAAGCTTGGTACTCCCCGTTATGCAGGCTTTTATTGTAAACTGCCATCCACAGAAAGCAACAGCCCCCTAATATCAATTTCTTTGGAAAAGTAAGCACATTTACTTTGGTAACTATTTCAGAATTATTTATCTATTTATTTATGTTTCTTCCACATCTAGCCTATAAGCATTCCAATGCCAAGGAGCTCACCAAGGCCTAGGGTTATAACCGACACACAGAGCTGTTTGGCTACAAATACATTTCTACCCAAATTCTTTGCTTTGTAAATAAAGAAACTCACCAAGTTTAACTTTTCTAAAGTCTCACAGTTTGTGAGTAGCAGTGATAAGTAAAGTTTTCAGATTTTGTTTATTACATTGATACTAGATTATACTTTCTTTGGGCAACATACAAAAGCTCGGGAAAAAGCTTATTATCATGCTTCCTAAAGTATAATATCCTATAAAATTAAAAATGAAGGCAACATGTAGAACAGGAGAAAATATTTGCAAATCATATGTCTGATATATCTGATAAGAGGTTAATGTCCAGAATATATAAAGAACACCTAAATCTCAACAATGACAATATTAATCTGATTAAAATGTGGGTGAAGGAGTGAAATAGACATTTCCTTCATGAAGATACACAAATGACGAAAGGATGTATTAAAAAATGCTCAACATTACTAATCATCAGGAAAATGCAAGATAAAACCACAATGAAGTATCACTGGACACCCATTAGAATGGTCAATAAAAACAAATGCCAAAAAATAACAAGTGCTGGCATAAATGTGGAAAAATTGGAACATTTGTGAGAATGTAAAATTGTGCAGCCATTATGGAAAGTAGCATGGGGTTTCTTGAAAAAATTAAAAATAGAATCACCAATGATCCAGTAATCTTACTTCTGCATGTGTATCTAAAAGAGCTGAAAACAGGATTTTTTTTTTCTTTGAGATGGAGTCTTGCTCTGTTGCCCAGGCTAGAGTGCAGTGGTGCAATCTCGGCTCACTGCAACCTCCGCCTCCTGGGTTCAAGTGATTTTCCTGCCTCTGCCTCCTCAGTAGCTTGGATTACAAGCATACGCCACCATGCCTGGCTAATTTTTGTGTTTTTAGTAGAGATGGGGTTTCACCTTGTTGGTCAGGCTGGTCTTGAATTCCTGACCTCGTGATCCGCCTGCCTAGGTCTCTAAGTGCTGGGATTACAGGCGTAAGCCATCGCACCTGGCCAAAAATAGGATCTAAAAGTGATATTTTGAAACTGCAGCATTATTCGTGATAGCCAAGAATTAAAAGCAACGTAAATGTCCATCCACAGGTGAATGGATAAAGACAATATGGTATATTAATACAATTAAATACTATTAAGCCTTAAAATATTAGGAAATTCTGCTACCACATGGATGAAACTTGAGGACAATATGCTAAGTAAAATAAGCCAGTCTCAAAAGGACAAATACTGCATGATTTCACTTACATGAGATATTTAAAGTAGTCAAACTCTTAGGAACATTAAGTAGAATGATGACTGCCAGGGTCTGGAAGAGAGGGAAATGGGGAGTTAATGTTTAGTGTATATAGGGTTTCAATTTTGCAAGATGGAAAATTTCTAGAGAGATGTTGCACACCAATGAGCATACATTAGCACTACTGAAATGTAAACTTAAAATGGTTACATTTGTAAATTATGTGTTTTATAAAACAAAAAAGAGAAGAACTTAATCATTGTTAAATGGATTTGAGTATTTGTTTATTCAAAAGGTATGAAATGTAAAACATGTATTTTTGCCAAAGAATATGCAATAAGGCTGGGCACAGTAGCTCATGCCTGTAATCTAGCACTTTGGCAGGCCAAGGTAGGCAGATTACGAGGTCAGGAGTTCGAGACCAGCCTTGGCCAATATGGTGAAACCCCATCTCTACTAAAAATACAGAAATTAGCCAGGTGTGGTGTCACGCACCTGTAGTCCCAGCGACTCGGGAGGCTGAGGCAGGGAGAATCGCTTGAACCCAGGAGGCAGAGGTTGCAGTAAGCCAAGATCACACCACAGCACTCCAGCCTAGGTGACAGAGCGAGACTTCGTCTCAAAAAAAAAAAAAAAAAAAAAAAAAAGAAAAGAAAAAGAATATGCAATGTATTAAAACAGGTATAATGGCCTATGTAATGATTGGCAATGTGATTTCTTCACTGACCAGATTTGGAATATAGAGTTTTCAATAAAAATATTCCTAAGGACACTATCATTTTAAATGTATCATCAGCTTGTATAACTCATATATTATCTTCTCTCCAATGATGTAAATAATTAGCAGCAAAGAGAATGCACAAGCATATTCTTTGGTTTGCTCAACAGAAAAAAAAACTGAATAATTTTGTTTATCTGTTACTCACTACATGAGGATCTTCAGAAGACTCAAATGTCTGGATTTTTCTGAAATGCCAAATTAAAAATTTCAGAAAGAATTATATCTGTGGCTTTGCTACATGCTCATAGAAGTTCTGGGTTTCTAGCTTATTTTTGTTAATCATTCAAAGCAGGGCTGTGTGTAAACATGTGTAATGTAAACATACGCTGTCCTTGGTGGATTGTTTAGACTCTATTTAGAGTAGACTGAGAGGTGTGTCACATTCCAATACACCAGTAGGAAGCTATGGAAGGCTCTGTGTGAACAGCCTGTTCTCTGTCCACTCTGGCATGCTTCTGTCTTCCTGAGTTCCTCATGTCCCCTCTTTGGTACACCTAAAGATCCAGCTGGCTTACAACTTTCTGATTTATTCATAGAGTGTGTTTGAGTCTTGGTTGCACCCCTTAGTGTCAGTATCTTAACTTCTCTCAGCCATCATTTCCTTATATATAAATAACTCCCATGGCTATAAATTTATCTTAACAGGGAATTACAAAGACATAGAGGTTTTGACAAAGACTCCTTTGCATCTGTCTATCCCTGGTGTACAATAATTACATCTGAATCATCTTTTAATCAGCTAGCTCAGGCCCAAAGCATAATAGGACTTAAGAAAATGTTCATCACATAAATACAGTTTTGTGGATGTAGAGTAGATAAGGTTGTGGGGTTGGAAGATGCAGATCCGAAATACAGCTAGAAGGATTTTGGTCAAACTATGTATGTCCCTGGTGTCATAGAGAAAGAAGGGAAGGCAAATAGTGTGTAAGATGTGACACAATAAGCTAGATTTATAAGAGATATCCCTGTTATCTAAATGCAGATACATGAATTTTATAACTGTTGGGTGTTTAGTAATTACCTAAGAGCACACTGTCCTCTCTACTTAGAGTTAATGCTTAAAATGTCATTACAAACTGGAAAGATTACACATTAACTCAAATGAATCATTACGGGGGAAGAAACTTTGTTATATTTTTCTGGGTCAGGGGTATCAGCTTTTTTTTAATGTTTTTTTTTAAATGTTTATTTCAATAGCTTTTGGTGTACAGGTGGTCTTTTTGTTGTATGGATGAATTATATAGTAGTGAATACTGACATTTTAGTGCATTCATAACCTGAGTAGATTACATTGCACCTAATGTGTAATTTTCTATCCTTAGCCCCTTTCCCACCCTCTATCTTCTGAGTCTTTAAGGTTTATTATGTCACTTTGCTTACTCATAGCTTAGCTCCTCTTTATGAGTGAGAACATGCGGTTTTTGGTTTTCTACTCCTGTGTTAGTCGACTTAGAATAATGGCCTCCAGCTCCACCCAAGTTGCTGCAAGAGACTTTATTTCATTTTTTTTAATGGCTGAGTAGTATTTCATGGTGTATACATACCATATTTTCTTTATCCACTCATTAGTCAGTGGGTACCTAGATTGGGTCCACATATTTGCAATTGTGAATTCTGCCCTTTTTAACATATGTGTGCAAGTGTCTATATAATGACTTATTTTCCTTTGGGTAGTGGGATTGCTGGATTGAATGGTATATCTACTTATACCTATTAAATGAACCTCCATACTCTTTTCCATAGAGATTGTACTAATTTACATTTCCACCAGCAGTATATGAGTGTTTCCTTTTCCCCACATCCACACTAACTAACATCTATTGTTTTTCAAAATTTAATAATGGCCTTTCTTGCAGGAGTAAGGTGGCACCTCATGGTGGTTTTAATTTGCGTTTCCCTGATGATTAGTGATGTTGAGCATGTTTTCATTTGTTTTGGCCATTTCGATATCGTCTTTTGAAAAATATCCATGTCCTTTGCCCACTTACGGGTGGTATTATTTGCTGTTTTGTTTGAGTTTCTTGTATTATAGATTCTAGATACTAGTCCTTTGTCATAGAGTGATTTACTTGAGGAGTATGGTTCAGAGTGCACAGACAAGAATTAGATTTCAACTGAATGCAGAAATAATTTCATAATAAGTGCTTTTCAGCTATGCAAGGGAAGTTATTGCAAAGGATACTGTGAAAATGCTTCTTCAGCAGTCCAGGTAAGATGCAAAGAAATCTCTTAGAGAAGGTGAAGTGTTTGGAGAAACATTTCTTTCATCTTGCAAACTATATTTTACAATTGCGTAGTTTTCCTCTGGTAAAGAAAAGTTTCTCTCACAGGAGAATTAATGACCTCTTTTAAAGAAAATCAGAGAGAGAGAGAGAGAAAAAAAACAAAGATGCAAAAAGACAGAAAAAGACACAGATACACAAAATACCACAGTTTTGCTTTTTGTTTTTCCTACATACACATACATCAGGTAAGTTGTCTTTGACATTTCAAACACAATATAATTATCTGCATGTAAAATAATTTAAATGACCCTTAATCACTCATTATTATGCACTCTTTAATATATCACCTAGTCACTCTTTAGTACAGCCAGGATCAATATCTTGTGAGTTTTTGTGCTACCGTACAAAATTTCAAGTTGCTTAAAGATTTGCTATTTTTACTTGCTTGGTAAGTATTAATTTATATTCCTTATTTAGATAGTAATAAGTTAATGATTTTAAAACACATCTTCAATATGAATTGCTGGAAATGTCACACACAATGGAATACTCATCTCTCTGCCACGAGTGTGGAAAATGCAATCATACATCTTTAGTCATTATAAACCAGTGTCCTGTCATTCAGCTCAAGTACACAGATGTAATTTCATATTTAATAAAGTGACCTCATGATTTATAAACCCTGTGAAAAAAAGAGTCATAATTCTGTTTTGTCTGTGTCTCCAACAGCACAAAATCCTCTAATTTCCTACAGTGAATTTGCATACAGTCATACCATGTTTCGGCTGTAAAGATGTATATACGCCTCATCAGAATGGGGATCTCGAGAAGTGTTACTGGTATTTTTCTCCATACAAACAGGTTGTACTCTTGAGTGGGCTCTTTTCTTCCTCTTGTCAAGGCTTCTGTGACCATCTGTCATTATTTCAACATCTGGAGGAGCAGATAAGCTGTTCCAATTGGAACATTGCAGTCAGCAACTTTCTCCAGGAAACTAAATTTGTCACTTCTGCAAAGCATTTGTCTCTTGCCAGCTTTTGACTTCCTATCCCCAGGCCAAACTGAAAAAAATCAGACCTCCAAGTTTGTAAGGCTGCTGTGCTATGGACTAATTCAGCTGTGGAATAAAGGATGACAAAGGGTGGAAAGATCATGATTGATTCAAATTAATTTCTAGAACAGCAGGAAATCTATCTAAATATGATATAAAGATTTAATCTTAACTTGATGCCTCTCCAGCCATTACACATGACTTTCTTCTTAAAGAAATATCGAATGCTATACATTTTTGCCTGACAATTGCTTATAGACTTACGGTCTCTCTTTGATTTGAGGGACAGGTCATATTTTCAAATTAACCAGAAAATGGCCAGTTGCTCATACGGAGGGTGATATTAAATAAATTCACAAACTAATCACCCATTTCTTACTTTAATCATTCAATTAGAGTGACAATTAAATTGCACAAACATAAAATTATTTTAAAGCAAATCTGATCATATTTCATTCCTTCTCTAATCAATAATCTTCACTGAAGTCCTTTGCCCAGAGAACATCTTGATGCTTTATGAGCTTGTAAAGGTGTTATCTTCTGGCTTTTGCTTGATTCTCCAGTCTTGCGTTTTATTCCTACTCTGCCCTCTGACCACTTGAAGTTCTCTATATTATTCCTTCTTAATGTTTGTGTTGTTCCCATTTCCCAGGTGCTTCAACTGCCTAGATGCTTCTCAAAATCTGTGTATGCAAAATAGGCGAGGGGGTCTTGTTAAAAGGCAGATTTGAAGTTAGTAATTCTGGAGTGGAACCTGAAGCTGTGTATTTCTAACAGTCTTCTAGGTGATGGGAATACTGCTGAGACCTGTAATACACTTTGAGTAGCATGGTCTCAGAGCTCTGGTTTTCAACCAGTGGGTGATTTTGTGCCCCAGGGTCATTGGGAAATACCTGAAGATATTTTATGTGTCATAACTTCTGTTCTTACTGGCACCTTATAGATAGAGGCCAGAGATATTGCTAAATATTTCACAATGGCCAGCAGAGTCGACCAGGACAAATGCTTACTCAGTCCAAAATGTTTGTAGTGTGAAAATGAAAATCCTTGATCTAGAAAGCATGTAGTTTTCAGAAACCAGCTCGGCCATTGCCTCTTCTCTGAAGTCCCTAATCTCACCTAAGCAACCCTGATTCTTACTGGCTTCCTCTGTCTACTCGACTCCTCATCCCCCACACACCAAATCCAATATACTCATTGCTTACCTGCTCCATTATCAGTTACTTCTTTATCATGCTTCATTTCCCTTAAATTTGTAAGCATCTTGAATGCAATTATTGTATGTGTCATAGTAGACAGCAACTTTATTTGTTCCGTTGTCAATTTTAGGACACTTATTTATTTGATTAAAATGAGATGTTTAAAAAAAGATCATTAATGTTTTCAAAATGCAATTTAGCAATGACAACAAGAAGCAAAATAAGGTGTCATTTTGCTTAATCTATCGATATCACAGAAGAATCTACTGTTTCTGTAAGAGTTGAGGAAAATTAGCATTCCCGTTGTTCATAGGCATGTTATCTGGTTCACTATCACTTAGAGGTAAATTGCTGATAGTCTTTAGAATACACTGTTCTTTGACTTCTCTTGAACAGGTCGCTTTTCACCAGTAAACTTGGAACCTAATAAGTCTGTTGACATAGAGGAGGAATTCTTATCCATGAGTATGTGCTAGGGACTCTGACTTCAAAAGGGGGAAATCGTGCACCTAATTTAATATTTTTTATGCTTCATGTAGGAAACAAATCATAGAATCATTATTAATACAGTTTGCCATTCCTGGCCACTGCAAATATGTTTCAATCTTATTATACTGTTTTAAATACATTGAAATATTACTTATAATAATAAACTAACAATAATGAAGAAAATAATAATAATAAGAAACCTACCAGTATATTTTATTTAATGTATTAATGGGGAAGCACTTATAATTCTATATCATTATAAAAATACTTCAGTAATTTGTATTTCAATATAATTAACTTTTGTTGTAGTTCTGTTTCTTGACCTGAAAATATTGTTTATTGTTCTCATAATTGACCCATAGGCTGCAAGGAAAACCAAAATTAAGAGTGAAAGCTCTATCCCAATTCAATACTTCAAACCCTATCAGTTTGAATAATTTATATGTCTGAAAACAGTATTTCATGTCTATGCTTTTACTTTTATGTGGAAATTTATTAAAATTCTCTATCATTGGGTATTCAGAAAACACTGTGTAAGGACTATCCTGCAAGACAAATGAAATATATAACATGCTGTATTAGTTTTCTATTGCCACATAAGAAATTACCCCAAATTTACTGGCTGAAATCAACACACATTTATTATCTTACATTTCTGAAAGTCTGAGGTCTGATACATACCTCATTGCAATACAATCAACCTGTCAGCAAGCTGCATTCCATTCTGGAGGCCATAGAGGAGCATCTGTTGCTGGCTCATGGAGCTGTTGGCATAATTCAGTTCCGAAGGGGTGGTGGGAAAGGGGTCCAGGGTTTTCCTGCTGCTTGTAAGATGAAGGGCCATTCACTGCTCTCCTTGGCTAATAGCCCTTCCTCCATTTTCAAAGTGACCAATAGCAAGTCCAGTCTTTTTCATGTCACATTCTTCTTCCATCATTTTTCCCTTTTAAAAACTCATGTTATTAGGGTAATCTCCCCATCTGCAGATCTGTACTCTTAATCTAACTGGAAAGTTCTCTTTTGTTATAGCATATTTATAGGTTCTGGACATTAGGACATGGTTATCCTTGGGGAAACAATATTCTGCCTGTAACACATGTTCTATATATAGGTATAACCCTACGTCAAGTTTTACCCATTCTTATCATTAGCTAACATTTTGAGAGCAAATTAGTCTGGACACAACTAGCCCAGGTGCCTAGAAATATCTCACAATGAGCAGAACATTCTTTATCTTCAAATTTTATTTATACCTTATAATTATCAAGTGAAGATACCTGAATCATATGTCCACCAATGAAACTTAAGTACATTTTATTGTAAATAAATATAATATATGTAGATCTATTATAATCAGCTCTACTACAAAATTCTTACTGAAGAGGATGAAAAAGTCTTTGCTAATATACTCTTTTTAAGTTTCCTTTCTAGACCATCTTTTTCTAACTTCCATTAAAAAATTCTATATGCCCCGTGTATCAAACTTTAAGTGTGACATTGTTACGACTTAATGCAAATTGAGTTGTTTTCTCCAAAAATCTCGGAGTGCTGATTATTTGCTTCCTTAGGTAGAACTGCTCAGCATGCCAGCCACCCCCACCTTTTTTTTTTTTTTTTTTTAAGATGAGGGCTATTTCTCAGGATAGATATGTTAAGGGAGAATATATTAAAGATGGGATTTTTTTTTTTGCATGATGACTACTGAGTCACATATTTTCTTACACACCTATGTCAGAAATATTTTACTCGAAAAAATATAAACTTCAATTATTTTCTTTCTCTTTGCCTTCGTAACTTGGTATAGTAGTGAGATTTTTCATACTGCTTCTCATATTGATTCATCACTTACAAGACTGCAGCAAAAATGAAAAAAATGTGGATTTTCAAAGTCAGAAAGATTAGTACTTAAAATTTAACACTAAAAATTAGTGGCTTGCACAATTAATTAAACTGAGGGTCAATTCAATATTATTATCTCTAAATTTGAGATAATATATATTTGTAAGATTTGGCAATTAGGGAATATTCAGGACCCCCACAGATACCAAAACTCACAGATGCTCAAGTCTCTTATATAAAATTATGTATTATTTGCATGTAACTTACATATATCCTCCCATGTACTTTAATTATCCTAGATTATTTATAATACCTAATACAATATAAAGACTATTAACGTTTAATAGCATTTAAAATACAAATAGCTGTTATTATGTGTTTTTTATTTGTCTTATTTTTTTTTTTCTGAGTATATACTATCTGTGCTCATTGAACTTGTGGATGTAGAACCTGCAAATAGGGAAAGTCGACTGAATCTGATAACAGATATAAATTATGAAGGAGAAGTCAGGGCCAGCCTGGAGTTGATACTCAGATTATTTAAACTCCAAAATATCGCATTCCATAATATATATCTTTTGTAAACCAGTTCTACTACAAATTACATTGGCAATACCTTTGTTAATTCTTAAATGCTTTCATCATTTCTCTATTACTTTTTGTCTTGGATCAAGCTCCTACAGGGTCCAGTCTATGTTTAACATTTCTAAATTTTACTCGCAGTCTATTTAAAATTATATTAGACCTATATTAGAATTACCCGCTATAAACTTTACAAATAAGCAAACTAAGATTCAGTGAAATGAAGTAACATTTTCCAGGATAGGAAAGCTACTTGCTGGCAAAGCAAGAGCTGAAACACAATTCTAACTCACTGAGAAGTTCTCCTTTGAACACACTATTAAAAAAAAAAAAATCAGGCCTGGGTGCGGTGGCTCATGCCTGAGGCAGGCGGATCACGAGGTCAGGAGTTTGAGACCGGCCTGGCCAATATGGTGAAACCCCATCTCCACTAAAAATACAAAAATTAGCTGGGTATGCTTTTGCCTGCATGCCTGCAGTCCCAGCTACTCAGGAGGCTGAGGCAGGAGAATCGTTGAATGTGGGAGGCGGAGGTTGCAATGAGCCGAGATCACACCATTGAACTCCACCCTGGGCAACAAGAGCGAAACTCTGTCTCAAAAAAAAAAAAATAATAAATAATTGTGTTAATAATCACATATTTTTTTTTAATTTTTCAAGCAATTTTGAAGATGCAAAAACCACAGTAGAATAATAAGGCTCATATGAATAGGACATATTGTAGTAGATATTTTGTTTTAAAAAATTTTTTAAATCAGAAAGTAAGATATGTTCCCTAAGTTTTTATCCATCACTAGCACAAAGATGTTATTATCATTCCAGCAGTACTGGGACAAACTATTAGAGTGATTTTACCTAAAACCAGAACACATAGGAAATGGAAGTTAGTAAACATTTGAGTTATGTACCATAATTGAAATAATAGATTCTAGATTAAAAGAGATAAGTGAAGACAAAAAAACTAACAAGTTTTTACAGATCATGAAATAAAGATTAAGCCTAACAAATGTCTGAAGAAAGGACGTGTAAGCAATGATAATAAATAATATTGACAGTAACAATAATCATGGTAACCAACAATAATATATTTAATGCTTACTATGTGTGAATCACTGAGATAAAAATATGGCTATTTCTATCAGCTTTTACCACTAAACTATGAAATAGACAATATTATTATTTTCATTTTATAAACATAGACCAAGACAGTGAAAGACACAGAGAGTACGTACATTGGCCAAAGTTTTGACTAGTTTTAAATAAATGAAATCAGCATCATGAGAATTATTAACCTTAATCAGTATGTTCTATGCAATATGAAAAGAATAAAGCCCTATAGCAAGCATGTGCAGTGTTCAGTGTGGAGAGAAAATGAATCTTGGAAACACAAATACCCTCAGCAGAGTTATATACAGAGTGGTCCAATAGGCCCTCAATACTTTGAATGAATTTTCCATTGATATTTTCCATTTCCTTTTGCTCATAAATGCCTGAACACTGAACAATAATGAGTATGTGCCAGTTCATATTTAGTTGAGAAAATACTACCCTGGCTGTCAATGGCTACCAGCCAGCATAGAGATAATATATTGATAAACATTTCTTGAACACTAATCCAAAGATACATACACACACATATATATGTATATATGTGTATGTATATATGTGTTTATGGGTGTGTGTATGTATAATCTTATGGATCTTAATATCTTTGCATATTGTGTGTGTTGTCTTTTTTTTTGAGATGGACCCTTGCTCTGTCGCCAGGCTGGAGGGCAGTGGCATGATCTCAGCTCACTGGAACCTCTGCCTCAAGGGTTCAAGTGATTCTCTCACCTCAGCCTCCCAAGCAGCTGGGCTTACAGTGCCCACCACCTGCCCGGCTAATTTTTGTATTTTTAGTAGAGACGGGGGTTTCACCATGTTGGCCAGGCTGGTCTTGAACTCCTGACCTCATGATCCACCTGCCTCGGCCTCCCAAAGTGCTGGGATTACAGGCGTGAGCCACCACGACTGACCCTTTTTAAAATATCTTGGTATTTATGTACAATGTTTTTGTATGAAAACTTTCTTGGAAGTAAAATTCTGGAAATTGCTTATGAGAAGATTTTATTTTTCAATTTTGGACTGTCTTGATGGAATCCTACAAAATTATATTGGTCAAAGAACACTTGAATAAAGTATCCTCAATAATTACCTATGTTTATTGGGTGAAGATTGCCCCCCGCAAAAGAAAATTAGGAACACATACATACAGAATATGTGGGATATAAGACTTACATCATTAGTAAAACCCTCCTGGTCTACATTTTTGAATACTACTCCAACATGACAAAGTAGATTATTCAGAATGTTATAAGTCTCTGGAATATTTGAATCACAGTGTACACTAGCCACAGTTAAGCGGCCAAAAAAAAAAAAAATTAGAAAGAAGGCTGTTAAGTCTAGAAGATTGAATTTGTACAAGAATTCCTTCTTGGGGAACCACAGGTAAAAGTAGAAAATGAAATAAAATACGAATTACAAAAGGGGAATGAGAAAAGCAGTTTATGGCTTGCTGTAGTAAACAGCCCTTTAGCCATGCTCAAATTGTTCCCTTTCTCTTTAGCGTTTTTCAAACCAGCGAAAAGGATTGGTAAAGGAACTTTGGAACTAAGAGCTGTTTGCACTAATGAGTCTCCTGACACTGTCCCAAGTGATGGGCATGGCAGAATTCCATCAATAAAACATTAAGATAAAGGACCCACGACCCTTAAGGTAGCAGCCAAATCTCATTCCAGGGACTTGCATTTTTGTGTCAATTAAAGAATAGACTTCAAGAGGTGAAATTCACTTTACTCAGGCTTGTGGGATACCTCCGGCAAACATTAGCACAACAATCGCCATCTTTTTTGCAACTCTCAGGTCTGTGTGTAATGACCATCTCTCTCATTTCTCATTGGTGTACTGTTGTTCTAATTTACTCACCAGGACTTGCATTTACGTTCTAACTGAGCTTGTTGGACACTGAAATGGAGGAAGAATCACAAGCCATTTTCAAACCTGTAAGTATTTCCTATCTTTATAAGTAAGCCTCAATTCATTTTTTTCTTTGCTTCCATCAGGACAGTTTCAAGACAACTCTGTGAGGTAAGATAATTTTTTTTAATGAAACATTGCTTCTATAAGTAAATTTAAATTCTGGCTTCCTTCTGGGGCGATCTCTTTCTCCACTGTTTGGTTCTTGAATTTCAGGGAAACCCACAGTGAAATAGGTAGTAGTACCACTAACTCACTCTGATTTTTTAAAATTTGTTACAGCAGCAAATTATTCTATAGTATAAATATTAGAATGGAATTTACATTGAATGTTGGTATATTTCTGCATTTCTCATTACATTTAAATTAACTAAAGGGTTTTTGTTTAAAGCATCCCTTCTCTTGAGGAAAATGTAGGTAGAATTATAAAATCTTGTGGTTTTACATATGGGACTTTCTTTCACTTAATTTGCATTAAGCTGCCACATTTATGTCTTTAAAGAATAAACAAATTTACATTTTTGCATACAACTTGCCTCATCAGAAAAAGCATTGAATATTCAGATATGTGTAATTTGTCTTTGCTGTCACATTGGTTTAGGGTGTGATTTACCTGCCTTTTCTAAGATATTTAAGTTATACCATGATTAAATAACATGAAGGTGATAGACCAATGGAACATTTTAATCTCACGAAGAAAACAGGTGCGCAAATGTTAGAGAGCACCCTACTCCCACTCACCCTGCAATATACCAAATTCAAGTGTTGCCTATGATAATATTCAACCTCCAACCTGTTCCCCAGAGGCATGGCACTGCCAGGAGCAACTTCTCACTAGCAACAGGTCCTTTTACCTCTGACACTTCCAAAGGCCCTGTCACCATAAACAAGCTCGTTTTTTCTCTCTTGCCTGATTGCTCCAGTTACAAAATAATGTGAGACTTGGGAACTTTAGAGCAAGAAACAGTGCCTTTGTTACCACCTCTATTTCATAAGTGATGGAATGTATTTCATCTAAGCACCAAAGATGCCAAATAATCTATCTGAATTGAATAGTCATTTGGGGGCAGAACTGAGTTTAGAAAACATATTTCCTAATTTTCGGAATAGAACATCTTCTAATATATTGTTCCATGTTTTTGAAATTTAGAAAAATGATTAAAGGATTTTATTGTGAGTGGATTAGATACCTGAGCAGGATGTAAATAGACAATAAGAATAGAAGGCAATCCATTAAAGACCAAAAATAGTTCTTCACAAATCAGAAGACAACAGCCCTTCAGCCTCTATAATAACAGAATGTGAGGAATCTTGCCATTCAACTTCCTTTTCAGATACTAGGAAACAAAAATTTAGATTCAGGAGAATGACTTCCCCAGGTCGTGCTTTCAAAAAATGCTGTTTTATTGATTACCCACTCTAGGTCTTGCATATAACATATTACCCAGTGCATTAGGAACCAGAGATATCAATGCCTGATCTGTGCTTTGCTAGGAATATAGCTCTAAACAAAGTAGAAATAATTCTTGTGCTCACAGTATCTTTTGCCTAATTGAAGGAGAGAAAGAGTAAAGATATTTATGAGTAAATATCTACTAATGAATTGTAGCTATGGTAGGTTTTTAAAAAATAATTACAAGTTGAAATGAGATATGAAGGGGGTTGCCAGAGGAGGTCTAAAGATTATGAAAAGCTCATTTTGAACAACTACAGTTGAAATAAAACCTAAAATTTAAATAGAAATTGGCTAGGCCAAAACAAAAGGAAAACAAAAACATGAGTGAATGATAGGAATGTAGTCTAAGCAGAGAGAGAAAGCAAAGTCAAACCTGCAAATTGTAAGGAGGACAACATAATCGAAGAATTGTAAGAAGACAAAGATAGCTTGAGAGTTTTGAGATAAGTGGATGCTATCAGAATATATTGGTAATGAGTGCAAAGGCCAGTCTGTATAAGACCTTATTTCAACACTAGGTCCTTTAATTCCCATTCCATAGCTACGGTTTGTTAATTCTTAAAATTATTTTTCTTTTTTATGCAACATGACATAGAAAAAATTTGGAATTCAAAGGTACTTTACATTTGCATGTATTCCACACATCAATCTCGTGCTTTTCTTGCAAACTTTCATTTTGATTGTGTAATCAAAACTATTGGCAGATATGGCCAGCTAAGTAGAGTTAAAGAAATTACACTACATTACATCCAAACATGATGCTCTCAGCCAACGTACAATCCCTTATCATCAAACAGTTTGCAGTGAGCATGTATTTTGCAAGTTTCACTATCTCAATCTGTATTTGCCCTCAAACCTTCCTCAGGCTCTGTCTACACTGTCAAATCTAGAGTTGAGCAGTCTCCCAGGGAAAGGTATCAGTGGAGACAGTTCAGGTCAAATGAGTCACCTTTTCCCAGATTCTACTCTGTAATAGCCTCATGTCTCCTCTTCAATTTGCCTGCATAAACAGAGCCTTAGGGCAACTGTGAGACTAGCAGGTACTCTAAACGTGCCTCAAATAATATTACAGATTTTGAGGTCTTGTCTACAAAGCATATTTGACCCATAATATTTCAACACTGAAAGAGAGGATAGAAAGATTCTATCCTAATTTTGTTTTGTTATATTTGAAGAAACTGAGGCATATTGAATCATTAGTGCTGTTACGTGGTAGCACAGAGACATTCCTTGGAGGGAGCAGAACTGAATACAAATAGTCTGACCCTTGATTCAGAGGGTTTTCCCTGTGTTTCAGTACATTGTGACTGGGATCCATTCATTCCAACAACCATTTAGCAAGTACTTAATATTTTCCAATACTGTGGGGCTTCTGCAAGACAAATAATCAAAGCTAACCATAGTTTATTTCAAGTAGGAATTGTGCTCAGTGATTTACATGTAATTCTTCTAATTGCCACACTATGGCTAGGCAGGAGAAATGATTATTAACCCCATTCTGTATAAGAAGAGAATGAAGATTTAACGTTTAAATAACTTTTCTCAAAATGACACAACTATTTGGGTGGAGGATAAAATTTCATCCCTAGCCTGAAGTCTTAAGCATTATGCTATTCTGTCTCACAAGTAAAGATTTAGGTATTATATGGGGAAAATAATTTTAACTTATATATTTAATTTAATCAATATTTTCTGACTCCTGCTATGCATTTGGGATTATGTTTCTTGCCGAGGGTGCTGTGGGGAAAATAATACACATAATTCTAATATTTATAAAGTGTATTAGTCCAGTAGGTGAGAACTACATTTAAAAATTGTTAAGTACTAAGAGTACTTTTAATTGTATTTTAATTGTAATCTTAACTACTAGGGATTAATGGGAGGCACTGTAAAACAGTATAACAACTCAACAGTGGTGCCCAGGAAATTGTTGTCGAGATCAGGCTTAACAGTTGACAACATAAAAGCAGAAGTGAAGAAAATTAGAGGTAGAAAGAACAAGGGTGGGTGTAAAGGTGCTGGGCTGGAAAACAGCTGGATACATTCCAGGCATAGAAATGATCAATGTGATCCCAGTGTATCGAACAAAGGGACCAGTGCTGCAAAATTGGCTGAAGAAAAAGACAAGGCATGGGCACTGAAAGATTTTGGTCCTTCTCCTAGAAAGTGTTATGTGATTATGGGAAATTTTAGTGGGGAGGTACCACGGCAGGATTTAGGTTTTCAGAAGAATGTCTTGATTGTTATGTAACAAAGAGATTATAGAAGTGCAAGAGTGAAAGATTCCAAGTGGTGACATTTCATTCATTTACTGCCATATTGGCAACCTGCAGTACAAATAGAGAAGGGCAAGTATGTTTGACAAGGCTCCAGAAATCACTGCCATTTAAATATTGTGGAAAGAATGGGGCATGTTTACTCTTGAAAAAGAAACCAAGGGGAAAGCAGGCCTTTTTTAAGGAGAGAATAGAAACAATGGGATGAATTTCCAAGGAGACATATGTCAGCTCAATATGACAGAGTCATTATTATACAAAGAGATTGCCAATGATATAATAGTCAGTTCTCTGCCACTGAAGATATTCAAGGAGATGTTACACGTTTTTACTTTTTGGATATTATAGAACTGATGCCATTACTGGAAGGAACTTTTGGGCAAGGTGCACTCCTGCGAAATTGAATGCTAAGTTCCTTCCTTTGCTTTATAAAGCTAAATTTCAAACAGCCTATTGCTAGAGATGAAATAGCATAATTTGTTTCTGTGTATAATTCTGATGGAATTGTTAAATCTTATTTACAAAGTGAGGACCTACCTACCTTCAGAAACTTGCATGGACTTTTTGGCACAAAAGTCATGACTGCTCACACCTGTAATCCCAGCACTTTGAGAGGCTGAGGCGGGTGGATCACGAGGTCAGGAGTTCAAGACCAGCCTGGCCAAGATTGTGAAACCCCTGTCTCTACTAAAAATACAAAAATTATCTGGGCGTGGTGGCGGGCGCCTGTAATCCCAGCTACTCGGGAGGCTGAGGCAGGAGAAACACTTGAATCCGTGAGGTGGAGGCTGCAGTGAGATGAGATCGCACCACTGCACTCCAGCCTGGGCGACAGAGCGAGACTCCATCTCAAAAACAAAAAACAAACAAACAAAAACAAAAAAAAGGTCATGACTGACTCAGTTCAGCTGGGTACCTGCGTGTAAGTGGTGACTGGCCACATAACAGCATAAACTGTGTAGGAAGAGCTTCCATTTAAAAAAGATTTGCCGCTCTTTCTGTTTCTTTTCTACCAGTGATTATGCAAGTACCAAGATTGAAAATATTTTTTATTATTAGTTGTAAAAATAAAATGAAATATTATCTAGAAACTCAAATGTAAAGTAAATTTTTTTCTCCCTGTGCTTTTTGTTCAGTTTTCATGATCTCTTTCACTTGGCCCATCACATACAGACTTCAGTGCTCCCTTCCTTCTATGTCCCGTTTTGTATGCTATGCCCTGCTCCTCCTTCCTCCTTATAGCTGCTAGTGTGATCTTTCTTACACGCACATCTCCTGTGCCTTCCCCATGTTTAAGATATGCATACACAGTAAACTTCTTTTCAGTGCTGCAATGTAAAGCTTATATAGTTTTACTTTGATATAATTTTTTTATTATTTTAATCTCATGTACTGGATCATTCTCCCATACAGCCTTTTTTTTTTTTTTTTTTTTTTTTTTTTTTTTTTTTTTTTTGAGATGGAGTCTCGCTCTGTTGCCCAGGCTGGAGTGCAGTGACGTGATCTTGGAGCACTGCAAGCTCCGCCTCCTGGGTTCACACCATTCTCCTGCCTCAGCCTCCCGAGTAGCTGGGACCACAGGCACCCGCCACCACGCCTGGCTACTTTTTTGCATTTTTAGTAGAAATGGGGTTTTACCGTGTTAGCCAGGATGGTCTCGATCTCCTGACCTCGTGATCCGCCCGCCTCCGCCTCCCAAAGTGCTGGGATTACAGGCATGAGCCACTGCTCCCGGCCACATCCTTTTTTTCACTTATTATAATGTATTCAAGTTACTGTGAACTGCTTTTTATTTACTTTTCAAGCAAAGATGTAGAAGCAGTGGTTATTATATATCAAGCATGTAGATTATACATATAATATAATATGCCTGTATAAATATCTATATTATTATTAATAATATATCTATATATAGATATATTGTATTCATCATAAAGACAGATGTTTATATATTATTATTAGTCTCAGTTATGGTAAAAACAATGGCTGCCATTTGAGGATCTTGATATAAAGCAAGCACTCTAATAGGTAATCTACATATGTGGCTTGCAATTGTTTTTTTTAATTCATTTATTTATTCAACATATATTTGTTACAGGACACTCTTGGGCATTAATCCAGGAATTTGGAATAGTGCAATGAACAGAACAGATAATGTCCTTGTTTCAAGGAGCTTATATTCCAGCTAGTCATAATATTAAATTGTACAGAGATAAGTATTATTCAATATTAATTCTGTCTCTCTTCTACTTTTCTTCTTATTCTAAGTCCTACATAAATATAATTTGCCTTAGGAAAAATAAAGTATAAATAAACACGTTTTCTCCATATGTGCCCCAAAATGAAAATTCAGTGCTTAAATAAGCAACACATCTTAATATGTCTATTAAGGAATGTTACAGCTGCCAGAACAGAAATGGGTTTCTAACCTTGTTTTGATTCAGTAACCTACATTGTCAAGGAGATATGCCAATTGGACTGTATCTTTGAAGCTTTGCCTCCACCATCTGTATTCATTTTAATGTCATGCCATCAGTGTGTCTCTTCAAGTGGAGACCATCTTATTCTTAATATAGTAAGGTAGCAAAGAGTGCTTTTCATTTTGGGAATTGCAAGAAGTGCAAGATGGGGGACTTTCTGGGTTGAGCAACAAAGTCCAAGGGAAACCCCTGGTGAGCCTGTCAAAGGCAAAATGTAAGGAGATGTGAGAAAGTGTCACATGTTATCCAAAAGGAGGATGAGTGATTGGCAAGGTCAGGCTGTGTGCAGAGATAGCATTTGGGCCCAGTTCAATTGAAACATGAAAGCTTAGATAAGTCAAAGGGCTGTGAGAGTGGGAAATTGAAAAAAGAGTCAAGTTCTTCCTTATGGTAACTTGGTAAGAAAAAGAATCATTTATGTTAAAGGAATTAGGCAAGTGGAAAGAGAATTATAAAAGGAATCTTAGTATATAGTCCCTAGAATATTAAAAACACAACAAATTATATAAGTCAATCGAATGATTAATTGTGAATGTGTGCAAGGGTTGGGAGTGTATTTCCAAAATATCCGAAGAGAGTATGACCAGTTAATGTTAATAATCGCTTTTTAAAAATCTCACGAGGCAGTGCCTGTCAAACTGTGATCTTTGAACAGTTTCAATCAGAATCACTTGGTAAACTTTTAAAACAAAAATGCAGCTCCCATGGCCATTTTTCTTGCCTGTTCCACCCACATATGCCAGGGGTGGGGCTTTTTTAGCAAGTTCCCAGGGGTGAGGAATAGGCCTTCTTCCTTTAATCAAGAGAGGTATTTTTCCAGAATCTCATTTGTGTCTTCACAGCTTAGTTCTGCTTATTCTCCTCCTCGGCTGCACATGTGCCTCTTGCTGTGTTTCCACTGTGGAATCCACACTCCAGCCACACTGACATGCAGATTGACACCAGACTCTAGGTTTTCCACCTTCCACGATGTCACCTGTTTCTTCTTTGCCTGCAATATTATGCAAATATCTCTCCTTTCCTTTTACCTGACTAGTTTCCATCTTTCTTTCAAAACTCAACCTAGAGTCACTTTCTCTGGGAAGTGTGTGACGAGTATCCCAGGTTCTATGTTAGGCAGCCTTGTCCTGTGCTTCCCCAGCTTTTGGTGGTTGCAACTATTCTTTTCATCCCAGGGTGCACTAACCCATTTACATGGGGTTTTTTTTTATTATTTATTTTGGAATTCCTGTGAAGGGTAGGTTTGGTCTCAGGCAAAATGCTGGTCAGTAACCTCATGTAGTGTCTAGTGAGGAAGATCAAGAGTAAACGATTACAATAAAGTGAAAAGATTGAAATGATAGGAGAAACGCAGGACACTATAAGACAATACTATGGCATCCCAGATCTTATAGACTGCCTGTTGCGCAGTTCAAAACTTACATGTCTGCAGCCCTCCAGAGGCTATTGGTTGCTTGAATTCCAATTTCTGCATACAGCCTAAATTGAGCATTCCTCCACAATCTCAATAAATTCTGTAGCCATTGCTAGAGTAGTCTCTTCTCCAGCTGAAGAAATTTTAGCACCCATCTATTTTGTACTTAGCATTGCCTATGTGCTTTGAGTAAGAATGGGCAAAAACAAACAAAAAATACAAAAGCCATGTTGGCCTTAGCCTCAGGTTAATTATGTGCACTAATTATGATAGTATCTGCTGAAAGACATAGATTATTTAATTTATGTCAGCCCTTAGTGTGAATTATATCACCTAAACCTCCCATCATTCTTATGGAGTAGGTTGTGATTTTAATCTCCATTTTACAGATGAAGAGACTGAGGTTCCAATAAATAGACCCATTTGTATATAGCCACAGAGTAATGAGAATATAAAAATGTTGAACTCATAGAATCAGAGAGTAGAATGCAGGTTTCCAGGGTCTCTGGGGGTGTGGAGGTGGGGATGGGAAAATGTTAGTCAAGGGTACAAAATTTTAGACAGGATAAATAAATTCTGGAGATCTAGTGTACAGTATGGTGACTATAGTTAATAATTTATTGTATATTTGAAAACGGCTAAGACAGGAGATCTTAAATGTTCTTACCACAAAAAATCATAAGTATATAAGCTGATGGAGATGTTAACTTGATTTAACCATTTTGCAATGTATACAGATGTTACAACATCACATTTTATAACATAAATATATACAATTCTTATTTGTCAATTATATCTTAATAAATTTGAAATCCCTTGATTTCAAAACTATGAAGTTTGACTCCAGAACACATACTCATATCCATTAAACTGTCTTTCCTGCAATTGGATTCCACTTTAATATCCACTGTGCTTTAGATTGAGGTTTTATTCTAATCCTGTCATTTCTGGAGAGAGGCAACATAGCAGAGGATCTAGGATCAAAATGCTTGGTTTTAAATCTCAGACCCAGTACTTATGAACTAGGCAGGCTTGAGTGTATCAGTCAAGCTTTCTGTACTTTAGTCACTGGCAAAGTGGAAATAATGAGAGTACACAATTTTTAAAGTTGCCTGGATTAAATAAGTTAATACATAATAAATTATTGCAACAGGACTTAGCAAATAGTAAGCACTCAATTTTAGTTACCATCACTACTATTACTATCATTGCTATTATTATTCTTACGACTATTAATAGAGCTACTATTACTTCCACCATAGTTGGCTGGTGAGCACTCAATAGATCAATTAGAATCAGTTTTCCCACCTCATAATGGGCATTTAAATCTTCATTGCTCTCCCTACACGATTTCTTTGAGGATGAAAATAAAAAGTGAGTATAACATTATTTCAAGTTATCTGACTCTGACAAAGTACTTATAAATACAACCCTTCAATTTTTGCTTTTATTAATTTCTTGTTTTGGATGATTCTGAAAGATATATGATAGGACTGGAATAACATTCTAAACTCAGGAGGAAAAAATCTTCAAATAATCTCATTTATATCTCCATGACATCAGGTTACCCTTAAGAAGGGAACATAAAATAAAAATAAAGGAACAAGAATAATGTCAAATGATCCTAATGATCAGCATGTGAAATATGATGAAGCTGCCTGATCTCTACCTGCCTATCAAATATACACTGGACCCTGGACCCTAAATATACATTGGGCTCAATGAGAAAGAGGGTGCTACTTTCATTCATTAATGCAGGAACTTTCACCTGCATGCACTGGTTGTTTTGTTTTGTTTTTTAACCTGTGTTCTCCATAATATTATGAAGTATAATACATTATCCCTTCTCATCTTTGGTTGACAAATTTTCAGCTCTGAGAGATGAAACAAGTTACGTATAGACATATTAATAAATGGCAGAGTTCAATGATTCCAGAGTTCAGGCACTTTCCACTAGGATATGACACATCCTAAATATGCTGTAAAACAACTAACAAACAAGTTAATTCACCAGCCCAAGAAAATAATGAGTGTTTTAAGAAATGGCATAATTGATGGTTAAATTAATGGACAAATGGTACAGAAAGACAGATATGAAGAGGATGGTTGGAGATCTGTATTTCTATTACATAGATATATAGATAGTTAAAATCCTCAAATCATTCTAGGTTCTAGAGCCTGAAAAAGTGTGGCATTAATTTGCGTGTTCTTACCCTACAGTAAAGTCCCATGTCTCTATGTCTTAGTTTCATAATCACATATTCTTTTTCTTCCTTTCAATAATTACAAGATTACAAATGCTCCATATGGCAAATTTTGGAAAAATTTGAGATGGAAAGCAAACTTACAGATTTTCAAAAAATTCATAACCGCTGTTATATTTTCAACACTTTATTTTATAAGCTCTTTTTATTTGTTCTGTTTTTTTATATTTTCATATTTCTATATTCTATTCTTTGTTGATCTAGATATTCCTACATCTGGTCTTTTTTTTTCTCCAATTTAGTGTTCGGCAATTTTATTAAAAAAAATTGATACGATTACAAAAAATATGTAATTTTCTATCTTGAAGATTGATAGAGATTTAATTCACTTATTACTCTTTTGTTATTTCCAAATTATAAATAAAATGTATTATAATTTAAGTTGTCATAAAAATACCTTTGTTACTGAAAGCTTCTCTGTATCAATTTTATTACAATAGAATATATTCCTGATAATTGAATATTAGAAAAAGAAAATAGACATATTTAATATCTTAACATATATTACTAAATTGCTTTCTGTAAATGCAATAGTCATAGCTGGGAGCCTTCAAGAGAAGGGGCATTTCAGAGGGAAAGGCAATATGGGAAAGGCAAGGAAAAGATAGGATATAGATTAAGAAATTTGACAGTAAATGTAGAACTAAAGTATGGAAAGACTGAGCAAAATAATTAGAAAATATCTGTCAGCATTCGTTTTAAATTCATAGCCAGCCAGAATCTAGAAAACATAAAGTGTGTAAGGTTTTTAAATTTGAGACAATTTTTTTTTAAAGAAACTGAGTGAAGGGATTGTGAACATGGTGTTCAACTACAACAGAGAAGAGATCCCTGACAGCCCATGTTTGGCATCCTGTGTTCATTGAGGTGTAGGCTCACGGAATTTCCTGGCCTTCAACCCTTCAACACAAAGGTTACCTGTATGTTTTACTGAGATGCTTTTGAAACCGGGCTGAAATTAACTAACAAAACGCTAGCTCATCTCGCACAAGATGTGTACAAATAACTCCACCAATGTTCAGGCTGGTTTTGGCAGCTCAGGGCAATCAAACATTCGAATAATTGAACCTTGATGCAATCATCAAGGCACTGATTTCTTTACTGTCACAAGTCACCCCAATAAAGATAAAAATGATGGCCTTTAATTATATTTTAATTTTCAAAACTGAAAAACACAAAATAAATAATTAAACAACATAGTGCCAATTATACATTTTTATTTTGGGGGACGGGTGGCATTGAAGTGTTTTTCTTTCATTGTGATTTCAATATTGCCCTGAGGGTTTTTTTCTTTTACTTTTTTCCTAAATGTGTATTTATGAAACTCAATTTATCAAAAATAATTATAGATGACAGTCACAGATAAAATTATTTGATTAACAAGTATGACCCTTTAGAAAATCACCACAATTGTTTAAGAATTACTAGTGGTTGGGCAAACAGATTTAAATGGACACATTCGTGAACACATTTAACAAGTGATTACCGAGATTAAAATTAGAGAATATAAAATTAATTGTATTCTCTGTTTTTGAGAAGCTCACATTCTGATGATAATTACAGGTAAGAATCACATATTCTGCGATTTTTAAGACCAGTAGGGAAAAGACCTCTGTCTTGTTTTTTCTTCTTGTATGCTATGAAGCTCTGATGATAGAATGTATAGGGTTTTCAAAAACCCCAGAGAAGGCACATCTAGTAAAGCCTAGGGAGTTAAAAAAAAATCAATTTCAGAGGGCAGGTCATTACTTAGCTGAATTACCCAGGAAATGATGGCAAACCACGATCCAGCAGGATAAACCATCACTTGCAAAGTCATGGAAGTGTCAAGGAGTTGGAGAGTTGGAGAGTTAGAGAATTCAGAATATCTGAAATTTGAGTTTGAGGTGAAATTCATGAACTAGGCAAGAGACCAAATCACACATGAATGTTATAAATTTGGACTCTGTTGTTAAGTATTGTTGGAAGATTTTACACAAGTAGCAGTCATATGAAAAGTTTAGAAAGATCTCCCTGGTGGAAAGATGGAAATTAAATTTGGAGAGTTTAGGAAGTGAGAATGTCATCAGGGTAATTTATTAGACTAGTACAATAGTTCAACTGAGATGTAAAGAGGCCCTTTTCCATGATAATAAATGGAAGAACAGAGACTAGAAAATATATAAAAGATATTTATTGTCAAGGATGTAGAACATGAGTTTGTTTCAAAAAACTCAGTTTTTTTTTTTTTTCGTTCTACAGATGTACAGTTGGGCATCTTTTAAAACAGGGACTGTTAAAATGAGAAAGAATGAAAGCTAAATTGCCTTCAACTTAGAATAATTTCTTTTTCAGCTCTAATTTTCCTACGTTCGCTGTGGAATTAGGTATTGAAATCCACTCAAGTTTCTAATTTTCAGCTTCCTTGCACCAACACAGCCTCACAGCTGTGAATTTGCTAATATAATGGATTCCCAGTTAAATCTAACAGTGGGGTCACTAAACAAACATCCTTGCATGGTGTATTTTCATATTAATAAAACTTAGATCAAAATATGGATATGAATAAACTTAGGGGTGTGTATTTCCACAGAATGGTTCTTAAAGCTATTCTAATTCAACATGTTCCCTTGACCAAGTTGTGACAGATCTAATTTTTTTCATGTGATGTTAAGGGATTGCTATTTTAAATACTTGGCACTACAGTGATGTAGCATTGGTGCAGTTCTTAGATATCTCCTAGTCTAAAATTTAAACAGAGGTATTTAAGTGAGGAAGTGATTTAAAAAAACCCAGATACTTCTAATTTATAATCCTGGGATTAGTTCCCTTGATGAGTCCAAATTAGAACATTCCCCTCTTAAAGCCTGAATTGTTGTTCACTTCAATCATGAAACCCAAACAAACATAGTAAAATATAATGCATAATCCTACATGTCTATATTATTGGAAAATCTGGGGTTTGGAACCTTGGAATCTGTATTACAGTAAAAAAGTAAACCAGGTGTATTAGTCCATTTTCACACTGCTATAAAGACATACCTGAGACTGGGTAATAAAAAAAGAGGTTTCATTGACTCACAGTTCTGCATGGCTGGGGAGGCCTCAGGAAACTTACAATCATGGCAGAAGGGGAAGCAGGCACATCTTATATGGTGGCAGTGAAATGGGAAAAGTTTCCTGGTCCCCCTCGCAGGGCATGCGACAGGGGGAGTGGCTCGCTTCTTCAGTGCCCCGCTGATCACACCTCTAGGGGAGCATACAGATGGGCGGGTCGTGGGGCTCTGACCCCACAGCAGTGTCTAGGTCTGGATGTTGACAGCTCCCGAAGCCCCAGTGGGTGTGTGCTACCGTGTGCTCTTTTAGTTTTGCCATCTATAGGCGGCTTGTGTTAACCAGCTCAATTAGACCCTCTACTCTGTGACAAGGACAGAGGGCTTTCTGTATCGCGGGTCCTTGCCTTGGTGTACTGGAAGAATCGGATCACACCTGGGCTTGGAGAATGAGTGCAAGGTTTTATTGAGTGGAGGTAGCTCTCAGCAGATGGGAGAAGCCAGAAGAAGATGGAGTGGGAAGGTTTTCCCCTGGAGTCGGGCTGCTCAGTGACCTGGGCTCTCCTCCGACTGCCCCAGCCAAACTCCGCATCGTTCTGCCGGTCTATGGCCTGCTGGAGTGTCAGTGCCTGTTGGTGCATTACTCTCCACCTCCAGCCGCTTGTGTGTTCCTCCGCTGACGCGTTCCTCTCGAGGTGCAGCTGCCTGTGTGTCTGCCTGCTAGGGTCTCGGGTTTTGTTTTGTTTTTGTTTTTGTTTTGAGACGAGTCTCCCTCTCTCGCCAGGTTGGAGTGCAGTGGCAAGATCTCGGCTCTCTGCAACCTCCTCCTCCTCCCGGGTTCGATAAATTCTCCTGCCTCAGCCTCTGGGGTAGCTGGGATTACAGGCACCTGCCACCACGCCCAGCTAATTTTTGTATTTTTAGTAGAGACGGGGCTTCACCATGTTGGCCAGGCTGGTCTCGAACTCCTGACCTCAAGTGATCCTCCTGCTTCGGCCTCCCGAAGTGCTGGGATTACAGGCGTGATGAGGGTCTCGGGTTTTTATAGGCACAAGATGGGGGCGTGGCAGGCCAGTATGGTCTTGGGAAATGCAACATTTGGGCAGGAAAACAAAAATGCCTGTCTTCACCTAGGTCCGTGGGCACAGGCCCAGGGGTGGAGCCATAGCCAGAGACCATGCCCTCCTCTACCCAGCACTTCCCTTCCATATCAGCAGGTGAGAGACAGCATGTATGAGCACAGGAAGAACTACCGTTTATAAAACCACCTAATCTTGGTGAGAATTCACTCCCAAATTCCTGAGAGTGGCATGGGGGATCTGCCACCATAATCCAATCATTTCTCACCAGGTCCCTCCCTAAACACATTCGAGATGAGATTTGGATGGGGTCACAAAACCTAACCACATCATTCTGCTTCTGGCCCCTCCCAAATGTCCTCACATTTTGCAAAGCCTAACCATACCACCAGGTAATAATTTTCATGTATGCCCAAGTTGCCCAAGTTTAATAGTGACTACTCTAAGATCGTGAGAATCTCTATCCCTTTAAACTCATTGGAATACATGATTTCAGTGAAAATGTTTTTACTGAGAACAAATATTTGAAAATCCAGTGGCTGCCTTGACAGATCTGTCTCTACCCAGAAACTGTTGAAAAAGATAAGACAGAGGAAGACTTAGACATGTGGTTAGGTTTGGATAGCTGGGCTAGGGGTAGAGGGACAGACCATAGTATATTCCTGTCTGTATCCCTAGTGCTTTGCCCAAAGCCTGAGGCATGGCGGGTATCCAGCAAAATGAATGGGAAAAATTAAGGGATTTGGAAATCAGTGACTTTCCTCTCAGTAGGGAAGTAGAGGAGGTAAGCTTTGGCTTCTGAAAGGAAGTCTGTTTGTTTGTTTGTTTGTTTGTTTGAGACAGAGTCTCCCTCTGTCACCCAGGCTGGAGTGCAGTGGCACGATCTCGGCTCACTGCAACCTTCGCCTCCCAGGTGCAAGCTATTCTCCTGCCTCAGCCTCTGGAATAGCTGGGGTTACAGGTGCGTGCCCCCACGCCCGGCTAATTTTTTTTTTTTTTTTTTTTTGTATTTTTAGTAGAGATGGGGTTTCACCATGTTGGCCAGGCTGATCTCGAACTCCTGACCTCAGGTGATCCACCGGTCTCTTCCTCCCAAAGTGCTGGGATTACAGGCGTGAGTCACCGCTCCCGGCCTGACGTGAAGTCTTGAATGCTGCCAGTAACGAATTCTGCAGTCGCCTCTTAATGGGAATAGAAAGCAACTCTTTCACAGACAGCCTGTAAGGGGTTATATATTGAAAAGTGAAGTAATAATTTTGTCGTTGATCAAATTAAACAGGTGGGCTTCCTTTTGTTTCTTCCGTGTGCAGGATTCCGGTTCACCTCTAGATGGTGCTGCTGATTCATGGCTAAGCAGCCACACACTTCAACTCATAGTATGAGTGCAGAGCTCCAACCTGAGGCGCCAGCTCTACACTTGTATCTCTGACTCTTGCCAATTTGCAGGAAGCTATATTTTAAAATGCATTCACTTGGCCAATTCGGATCACCTTTCCTTCCTAACTCTCCTCTCATTACCTTTGTTTTCAAATTAAGGAACATGTTTTAAAATAGTCTTAATAGCATTTCTAATTATGTTTATGCTCTTTTTATTTGTGATGTGTACAGTGGAAGGACAGACATAACTGACCCATGGTTGGGGGAAAAAGACTGTTTCTAACTGGATAAATGTCATGTTATATTCCATATATATATATAGAACTCTATCCTTAGATACTCCATAGGTAACTTTGCCCAAGAGGTTTAATCTTTGGGAGTCCAATTTTTGCCATCTTTAAAAGAAACAGCTTAATGCTAGAAATATAGCATTATGAAATAGAAACACTCAGGACTGAAAAAGATGTGGCATCTGCATAGCTGTTCTGTTCTTTCCTTCTCAGGACAGACACCAGTATTTTTTTCATGGTACTTTCTCCCAGTTAGCAAAATCTGGGATCAAAATTCATTTCCAATGCAGAAATGAAGGTGGATGCGTGTCTGAATATACTTTAAACCATGTATTAACCCTGGCCTAGCATAATTCCATTGTTTTATGTTAGTTATGTGGGACCTAAAGAAGGTAGGTGACCTGCCCTTATTCCCATGAAATAAGTTGCAGAACTAAAATTAGACCCCAGATACACTGACTCCAATTAAGATATACACCATGCTCATTAGGTCTATTTTATCTCTAAAAATCCAAGCCAGAGTCCCAGTACCATTAACACACAGTCTAGGAAATAGACAACAATTCATTCATTAGTCAATATAACTTATTCAGTAATTACTATGAGCTCAAAACTTTGCTAAATAAATTGTGCTAAAGTGATAAAAAGATATGTTGCCTGCCCCCAGAAGCTATCATTATTGGAGAGAAGAATACTTATAAAGTATTGTTATATGCAATAGCTGTATCTCACATATTGCTATGTGAAACATGTGACATAAAAGGAATGTGTACCAGATGCAGGGACGGGGGGGCATGTGATGTGATAAGCATATACACAAGGACCATAATTAATGCTGTGTTGGGTGACAAAAGCATGACTCAGGCTCAGCTTACTGAAACTGGAAAACATAGTCAACATCATTTCTTTTTTTTTCCCCCAAGAATGAGCAGGAAGTTACCAGAAGTACTGGAGGTAGATGAACGCATTTGTTTAGGTTGTAAAAATATAAAAACAATAATGATAGTAGCACATGTGAAGTTGGTATTCCTATGTGATAAGTGTCATTTAATTTCCACACCATTGCTGCTATGCCTACCTGTATGTGACAGCCACTTCCAATTTGACAGATCTGGTAATTGAGACTCAGAGATGTAAAGAGGTTGACTTGAAGTCATGCAACCAACTGCAGAAGTTGTTTCAAAGCTCGTGCCTTTAGTCTCTGCATTAGACAGTCTTTCTTATTTTATTTATTTATTTATTTATTTATTTATTGAAATGGAGTCTCGCTCTGCGCCCAGGCTGGAGTGTAGTGGTGCGATCTCCGCTCACTGCAACCTCTGCTTCCCAAGTTCAAGCGATTCTCCTGCCTCAGCCTCCCGAGTAGCTGGTATTACAGGTGTCTACAACCATGCCTGGGTAATTTTTGTATTTTTTTAAGTAGAGATGGGGTTTTGCCATGTTGGCCAGGCTGGTCTAGAACTCCTGACCTCAGGTGATCACCTGCCTTGGCCTCCCAAAATCCTGGGATTTACAGGCATGAGCCACCATGCCCGGCCTAGACAGTCTTTCTGATTGCCTTTCGAATAGAATAAAAGAAGAAAGTAATCAAATGCCTGTAGCAGTCCATAACCAAAGTTATATCTTAGTTTCAAAAACAAGATGTGGGATGTTTTCCTAAATCTCAGAGAAGGAGTCATTCACGGAGGATTGTGGGAGGACATGTTCATCTGTCTTACTCAGATAGTTTATCTGGACAACTAAAAGCAGACCTGTGCCTGAGCAATACTATTCCCAGAGTGTTTAACTTGCAAAGAGCACCATGATCAAATGATATGGTGCAGAACCCTACTTTTTAGGTGAGTTATCATGTATCTCTCTCTCTCTCTGTCTTCATTTTCTAAATAGAAAGAAAAACAATATAGTATATTGACATATGAATTAGCACTTTAAAAGCCTTACATGCTAAAGCATATAAATAAGCAAGAAACAGTTCAGCCTGAGCATCCTCAGACCAACAGGATGTCAGAGCAATCAGTGCCTGGAGACCCAGCCACTCCATCTGTGTCGTGCTCTGTGGGTGTTGGTAACATCACTGATTATTCATTCACAGACCTGTTCATCCCATCACCACTATACACTGGGCACAATTGCTCATTGTTCTCCACTGATTAGAATGCTGTGATTTATAAACGGATGATGTAAAAGAAAAATAGACCAAGGCCATTACTTGCAGGTGGATTTTTCTAGTTCCTAGATTCTGGGGTAATCAATCTTCTGTAGAATGTCTCCTGCCTACTTACTGTTGGGCTTTTTAAGGAACATTCTCCACTGGCAACTGCACCAAACTCCAGTATGTCCAATTCTAAAAGGCAGCTTAAATATTACTTTTTTTCATGATAGTATAAATATCTAATTTACTCTAATACTGTCCTTTGTGTGAAAACTATAACATGTGAGTCAAAGACTCTAAATGGACAGACTAAAGGGGCTGAGTAGCAAGTGTGGGTATCACTATATCAAGATTGTCACTGCTAAAATACTCAAACTGACTCACGTCCATTAATTGCAGTTGGGCAAAAATTTAGGCTGCATAAGTACTATTAAATTAGAGTGTATTTCTATGCACTAGTTTTCAGAGTTGAACCTGTCTTTAAATATTGCCTTATATAATCACCTCCTCTTGACAGGCAAAGAAGACAAAGAAAGGAGAAATCACACAGTTTGAGAAATGGAAAAAAAAGTGTGCTTTCTTAATTTCCATCCTGAGTTTGAACCAAATAATGCTCACATGCTTCTTAGAGGTGGGAAACCGTGCTTTGTGGTTTCCTGGCTCTCTTGTGTGTCTCATGCAGCACACAACCCACTGCCCTGAACAAAGCTGATACTCATACATAATAATCATAACAATAATTATAGAATGTATATAGTGTGGAAGAATTAGGGAGGTGGGGATTAATTAAAGTCTAAAAAGAAGTGGGACTGTGAGAGAAAGAGAAAGTTGCATTTATGGTTATAGGCTCCTTATGCCTACTTATTTCAGTTGGTGTGGAACTTTATCAGCCCATCTGGCAAACTGAGATTTGGCAGATGAGGTCTTCTCAGATATACATGTATAAACAAAAATATCTTTTTAAAAAAAAATCAATAATGGGAAAGATAAATGATATATTTTTTTCTTTTTTGAGAGGGAGTCTCACTCTATTCACCCAGGCTGGTGTGTAGTGGTGCAATCTCCGCTCACTACAACCTCTGCCTCCAGGGTTCAACCAATTCTCTTGCCTCAGCCTCCTGAGTAGCTGGAATTACGGGCACGTGCCACCATGCCCAGCTAATTTTTGTATTTTTAGTAGAGACAGCGTTTCTAATTTTAGATATTAGATATCATTAGAAAAGCAATGGTAGGGAGTCAGACCAGGTAGACAAAGGTCAAACTTCTTAACGACTTATTTCAGCTCGTTCTGAAAACTCATGTGCTGGCCAGAAATCCTGCAACAGTGTTCTGGGTTTATGGGAAGTTTTCACATTGGGAATATGGAAAATGCACTAAACATTAAGTACTGAATCAAGGAAAGCCAGAAATGGAGGGAGGTAGAAGAGAAGAGGGTAACTGCACAAGGCTTCTTTGGATAAATGAGAAAGTAAACTCACTTTTATTCTGTACCATAACTGTCTCTTACAGAGATGCCAGAAAAAATAAAAAATAAAAAAGAACAAGTGCCTGTTTTTAAAGATGCAAATAATATAGAATGTGGACTTAAATCTAACTATCCTTAATGTTTCCAACCTCACAGCCCTGGCCCATTCCACTGTCATTCTATAGTTAACCAGTTTGATGTCAAATATATTAAAAAAACACAACAAACATAGGCAAAATACAGTACATAAACATGATTGTGCAGTCAGTCTCATCAAGCAGTTTGCTTTTCTGGCCATGCTTCAGATGTGTGAGATCTTTATATTCTGACATATGTGGATCTACTTCTTTACTTGTAATGCTGACATAAAATTCCATTTCATGAATACTGTTGAATTAACTATTCCTCTAAAAATTATTCTAGTTAAAGAGTTTTGAAATATTTGCTATTTTTATAGTCAACATTTTTATTTAATATGCATAGTTTACCATTAGTTTTTGATACTTTTTAGAATTAAAGAGAATATGACTTTTGGAAGGCCGGGCATAGTGGCTCATGCCTGCAATCCCAGCACTTTGGGAGGCTGAGGCGGGTGGATCATTTGAGGTCAGGAGTTCAAGACCAGCCTGGGCAACATGGTGAAATCCCATTTCTACTAAAAATACAAAAAAAAAAAAAAGATAGCCGGGAGTGGTGGTACATGCTTGTAACCCCAGCTACTTGGGAGGCTGAGGCAGGAGAATTGAACCCCAGAGATGGAGGTTGTAGTGAGCTGAGATTGCGCTACTACATTCCAGCCAGGATGACGGAGTGAGACTCCTTCTCAAAAAATAAAAAAAAAAAAATTAAATATTAAAAAATAAAGAGAATATGGCTTTTGAATAACAAAAATCTCCTCTCTGGATATATCATGTAATATAAAAGAAAAACATATTCTTAATCTTAGACTTTAAGAAGGTGACATAAGTTTAAGTCTTGTTTCATTATTGACTGTGCAACATTAGAAAATTGATTTCTCCCAGTATCCATTCCCTCATCTGCAAATGGTTTAATAATTGTGTAAGCACAGTAAACAAAATGAATGTATTTAGTATAATTAAAGAAAGACTTTTAAAATTAAAAGCAAACTCTGCCCATTGGAGTCTTTTTACTGAGTATTGTGGTAGTGTCAAGTAAGAATTCTTGTTGTAATTCAGCAAATATATACAGTACGATAATGCTCTTCACCTTATACTTAACCTTTGCTATGCCTGGTGGTCAAAAGCAAAAGACACACTTCCTTGCAGTATATGCCAGAGAAGATATAGATGGAATAGATAAAGAGAGGGAATATCTCAAATCAGAGGTATTTCAGGGCTTATTGGCAACATTAAACTGTTATAAATGATATGTCTTCCAAGCCACAGAATCTCAAAGATAATGTTCTTCCTGGAACATTTTCCAAAGTATTTGCTTTTTATCTTCAGATTGGTAGGGATATTTGCAGAGAAGATTTGGTAGAAGCATTTCCAATATTCAGAAAGAAACTGTCTCCAAATATTATCAAGTATACTCAAAAATACTTATTTATATTAGAAAAAATAGTACAGTGGTACGATTTTTAAAAAGAAAGAACAAATGATGTAATCTGACATAATTTATGCCTTAGAAAAATAAAACTAATACAGTTCATGCTTATTCAGAATGCATTAAGATGCTTTCATTAGATATTTAATGTTGATGTCTTTTGATCTGTAAATTCTTTTTTCATATATATGTGTATATATTATTTTTCCTTTGATGAGGGGTATTTGCTGTAGACAGAGATATATAGCTGGAAGCATGTATTGGGATCCTAAATTGCTTCCCCTTAAAGATGTTCATATCTTACTGATATAAGTGAAGCTTATATACATACCATCATAAATTATATATTCAGACCATCAGTGATAAATCTGGCTGTTAACTTAAAAATCTTTTAAATAATCCAACTCTCACTTATATATGGTATGGAAATTGTGTTATTTTCTACTTCTCATAGCAGCTTGGAAATTGTACAACCTACTTTAGTATTCTTTAGTTTTTAACAAGTAAGACTGGGAATTGAGGAATAATCAGTAATGGTTACCTGCCTTTTCCTATTTAAGAACAATAATGGTGC
The DNA here is from genome assembly GCF_000001405.40 of Homo sapiens. Lineage (NCBI taxonomy): Eukaryota > Metazoa > Chordata > Mammalia > Primates > Hominidae > Homo > Homo sapiens. The sequence goes on along the minus strand of NC_000016.10, from coordinate 63,283,947 downwards.
TCACTCATCCCGAACAAGGCCTTTAATTAATCATTGTAGCTATGCAGGTTGAAGTCCCAATGTTATCATCACTGAAGCATAGCAGTAATATAAACTCCTGCTTAAGTGCTTTTGTTCTGTGAAATAAATCTTTGCATTACAACCATTCCTAATCACTAACACTTTGCTATTATCATACTTGATTGTGATGTTTTTAAGCCATTTATTTGTTTTATCTCTTTGCCAGCACAAATTTAATTTGCTAGAATTTTTAAGCATATAGTGAATTTGATAGGATGGAGCAGGAGATTTCTCTATAAAAATGAACTCTCACAAATACAAATAAAAGTAAAAGCAAAGCTAAATTTACAGAATAGAAAAATTAATCTGAATGCCTAAACTAATTAGTTGCTCATTGGACATTTGGAGTAAATTTTAAAGGTGTTTGTGTTATTGGATTCAGCTATTCAACATGACTAAAAGAAACAACTGATGATACCGAGTTAACCATATTACCTGAAACAAATAGAACTTTCTATTGACTTTAAAGGAAAGTTCTTCTCTAATTTGGAAGTTGAGGTAATAGCCTAATTTGCTTAAATGTTAGTAACTGTGAATAATTTAAGTGAAATTACTACTTTATACTCTCATGGTACTCATAATCCCTGGGAAGACAACTTTTTAAGAGACTATCTTACCATGTGCAAGTGGTTGCTTTTTAACTCACACAACGAACTGAAAAGTCTTATGAGGACTAATCATTTATCAAGAAAGAACACACCTGAATACCTAGGATGATGCTGTGTGCCAGTCCCACCCCCAGAGCAGCCATGGAACAGTACATGATTTCCTGACACTCTTTTTTAAGCACACATTGATTAAATGCCTGAATGGGGTCTAATACAGTTTATGAGGAAATGTAATATCACTAATTGTTAAACAAATAGACCAGAACTTACACAGCCAAGCTAGTGTTGCTTTTTTGAAACAGGTACCTGGGGAGGCTGCAGACTTATTTCAATATATTACCTCATTTAAACACTTTTCTAGAGTTCTCCTTTAATATCATTTCAGTGACCCAGCCAATTGGATCATGACATTTTTATCCAAGAGATTGGAGACTTTTTCACAAACACAGGTAGTTTGAGATAGATTCACTACCACGTTCTGAAATTAAACTACCTGATTAATCAAAATAATGTTCACTAATCAATTCTATAATTTACTGCCTGAAAGTCTTCAAGCAGTCATTCTGAGTGACCTAATGAATGAAGGTTTGAATAAATTAATGTATGGAACTTTTACTCCTTAATCAGAAAATCTCTCCTTGGAAATAGTGACTCCAAATTTTGAAAATAAAATGGGCTAATGTATTAAAATAATTTTAGTACCAAGAATACTTATTCCTTCCCTTTCTCATTTAAACATGCCTTGGGTACCTACTCTATGCCATGCATTGCATTAGGTGGAAGAAAGAAAAACATATGCATTGCCTGTCCTCCAAACTTCATTGTCTAACAGAGAAGACAAACAAGTAACCAGAATACAAGAATCCTGTCTGATTCAAGCTAGAACAGAGCGAAGCAGAGGATGTGTGGGACTAATAAGAGAAAGAAAAGGGAAAGTTTAAAAAAGGCTTCCTAGAGAAGAATTTGTGGGCCTGGAAAAATACATCCTTGTAATCACACCATCACACTCTTGTCTGGGGAGGACATTAGTATCCAAATAAAAAAAAAATGAATCTAGGTTTGAATGACTTCTTTCTCACAGATTTTAACTGTGAGTTATTTTAACACAGATCTAGAGAACTACGGTTCAGTTAATATGAAGAAAATATATACATTCTGCATTATCTAGGAAAGATCCAATTTATACTTGTTGTCCTGAGGAAATTGTGACAATCCCTTCCTTTTACTCTGAAAAGTTATGATAAGTGATAGCAAATTTTATATGTCAATCAGACTGGGTCACAGAGTGCCAGGAGGTCTTGTTAAGTGTCATTTCTGGCTGTGTCTGTGAGGGTGTTTCCAGAAGAAGTTAGCGTTTGAACTGGTAGATGTAGTAAGTCAGAGTGCCCTTCCCCATGTGGGAGGGCATCATCCAATCTGTTCAAGTCTCAAATAGAGCAAAACAGTGGAGGACGGGAAGATTCACCCTCTCTGCCTGTTTGAACTGGGACCTCCATCTTTTAATCTTTAACCCTCCAGGTTCTCAGGCCTTCATATTCAGACTGGAATCTACACCATTAACACTCTGGCTCTCAGGACTTTGAACTACACAATTTTTCTGGGTCTCCAGCTTGCAGATGGAAGATTGTGGGAGTTAGCTTCTGTAATTACATGACCCCATGCCTAGTACAAAATGTATTTATTTATTTATATAAATATATAGATAGATTTTATATAAATATGTAGATATTTATGTAGATAGATATTTATATAAATATAGAGATATTTATATAAATAAATATGTAGATTCATAAATATATAGAGATATATGTCTTTTAGTGTATATATACACACCATACATGCTACTATGTTATATATATATGAGTATATGTATATATGTATACATGTATATTATATATACTCTGTATTTTTTAATTTTTTAATTTTTTAAATTTAATTTTATTTTTATTTCCATAGGTTTTTGGATAATAAGTGGTGTTTGGTTACATGAGTAAGTTATTTAGTGGTGATTTGAGAGATTTTGGTACACGCATCACCCAAGCAGTATACATTGTACCCAATTTGTAGTCTTTTATCCCTCACCCCCCTCCTACCCTTTCCCTCAATTCCCCAAAGTCCATTGTATCAGTCTTATGACTTTGCATCTTTGCAGCTTAGCTTCCACTTATGAGTGATAACTTATGATGTTTGGTTTTCCATTCTTGAGTTACTTCACTCAGGCTAATGGTCTCCAATTCTATTTAGGTTGCTGTGAATGCCATTATTCTATTCCTCTTTATGGCTGAAAAGTATTCCATGGTGTGTGTGTGTGTGTGTGTGTGTGTGTGTGTGTGTGTGCGTGTGTGTATGTGTTTACCAAAATTTCTTCATCCACTCTTTGATTGATGGGTATTTGGGCCGCTTTCATATTTTTGCAATTGCAAATTGTGTTGCTATAAACTTGCGTGTTCAAGTATCTTTTTTGCAAAACGGCTTCTTTTCCTCTGGGTAGTTACCCAGTAGTGAGATTGCTGGATCAAACAATACTTCTACTTTTAGTTCTTCAAGGAATCTCCACACTATTTTCCATAGTGGTTGTATAGTTTACATTCCCACCAGAAGTGTAAAAGTGTTCTCTTTTCACTGCATCCTCACCATCATTTTTTTTGTTTGTTTTTTGATTATGGCCATTCTTGCAGGAGTAAGGTGCTATAGCATTGGGGTTTTGATTTGCATTTCCCTGACAATTAGTAATATTGAGCATTTTTTCATGTTTGTTGACCATTTGTATATCTTCTTTTGAGAACTGTCTATTCATGTCCTTGGCCCATTTTTTTAAGGGATTGTTTATTTTTTTCTGGCTAATTTGTTTGAGTTCCTTGTAGATTCTGGATATTAGTCCTTCGTCAGAAGTATAGATTTTCTCCCACTGTCAGATGAAGATTTTCTCCCACTTGTGGGTTATCTGTTTACTCTGCTGATTGTTTCTTTTGCTCTGCAGAAATATTTTAGTTTCATTAAGTCCCACCTATTTATCATTGTTTTTGTTGTATTTGCTTTTGGGTTCTTGGTCATGAAGTCTTTGTCCAAGCCAATGTCTAGAAGAGTTTTTCCAATGTTATCTTCCAGAATTTTTATGGTTTCAGATCCTATATTTAAGTCCTTGATCCATCTAGAGTTGATTTTTTTATAAGGTGAGAGATGAGGGTCCAGTTTCATTCTTCTACATGTGTCTTGCCAATTATCCCAGCACCATTTGTGGAATAGGATGTTCTTTCCCCACTTTATGTCTTGGTTTGGTTTGTCAAATATCAGTTGGCTGTAAGTATTTGGCCTTATTTCTGGGTTCTCTATTTTGTTCCATGGCATAGAAGGGACATATCTTAATGTAATAAAACCCATCTATGACAAACCCACAGCCAACATAACACTGAATGGGGAGAAGTTGAAAGCATTCCCTCTGAGAACTGGAACAAGACAAGGATGCCCATTCATCACTTCTATTCAACATAGTACTGGGAGTCCTAGCCAGAGCAATCAGACAACAGAAAGAAATAAATGGCATCCAAATCAGTAAAGAGGAAGTCAAACTGTCACTGTTTGCTGATATGATTGAATACCTAGAAAACCCTAAAGACTCCTCCAAAAATCTCCTAGATAAATGAATTCAGAGAAGTTTTAGGATACAAAATTAATGTACACAGTTAAGTAGCTCTGCTGTGCACCAACAATGTCTAAGCTGAGAATCAAACCAAGAACTCAACCCCTTTTACAATAGCTGCAAAAAGTAAAATAAAATAAAATAAAATAAAATAAAATAAAATAAAATAAAATAAAATAAAATACTTAGGAATATACCTAGCCAAGGAGGTGAAAGGACTCTATAAGGAAAACTAAAAACACTGCTAAAAGAAATCATAGACAACACAAACACATGGAAATACATCCCATGCTCATGGATGGGTAGCATCAACATTGTGAAGATTACCATACTGCCAAAACCAATCTACAAGTTCAATGCAATTCCTGTGAAAACACCACCATCATTCTTCACAAAACTAAAAAAGACAATCCTAAAATTCATATGGAACTAAAAAAGAGCCTGCATAGCAAAAGCAATGCTAAGCAAAAAGAACAAATCTGAAGGCATCACGTTACCTGACTTCAAATACTATATGGCCATAGTCACCAAAACATCATGATACAGGTATGCCCTATATGTTTATATGCATATATTATGTACATGTTTGTGCATATATATATGCATATTCAAATATGTGTGTGTGTATCCTATGGTTCTGTTTCTTGTGAGCAAATTATTGAGCCTCAGAGCCTCAATTACCTCATATGTTTAATGAATAGGATGGGAGAATAATGGATGAGGAGAAGAGGGAATGTTTTATTCTGAAGATCGAATATGTTAATGTGTGTGGAATTTGTAGCACTCTGCCTGGCATATATACCAACTACCTATATCTCAGCTACCATTATACTGTTAGCTACTTTTCACCCATTTATTCTTATAATCACATCCACTGAGAGCAGCAGTGCATATGATTTAAAAACATGCTCTGGAGCCAGACTATGTAAATTTTAATCCTGGATTTTCCAGATTCTGAACTTAAAAGCTATGAAGCCTTCAGCAAATTATGAAATCTCTTTGTACCTCAGTTTTCTCATCAGTGAAATAGAGATATTAACAATAGCATCTACCTCATATAGTTATTGGCAGCATCTAATGTTCATATAAAGAATATTTTTTAAAAGTTTCCACAGTATAGAAACTAGTGTCACAAATATAATCATTATCATCATCACATTTATTTTAAGGCTAGTATGGGTTAATATTTGAGGTAATTACAAAGACCCCAGAGCCTAAAGAACCTATATATTTGTACTAGCCATTGCTAATAATAATTTTTGTAATTCTGTATTTGGTATCAATAGCCCATAAATTTTATGTAACTTTTAAATTAACAATTTTGCCTTTCATTCTATTGGACCCTCACTAAGTATGCTGGGACTTGGCTTCCTAGTGTGAACTTGATTTTTTTTCTATCCACCCCTTTCATATTTCACTCCAGTGCTCTCGGGAATTATTAACAATTAAGATGGCTGTTGAATATTACAGTACCAAGAAGCACCCACCCAATTCATTAATGGTATTTGACATCTGGCAAATGCTCAGAAGTACTGACAGGAGCAGAAACACCTATTTTTTTAGCATCTCTGTTCTTCCCTCACTTCTTTTTTTTTTTGGCCAAATTTACTTATTCTTTCAATTCTGGTGAAATTGTTAGCTATGATGTAAAATGACACCTGGCATTTGAAAAGGATGAATAAATGAAAAATTAAGCTCTCACCAGGAAGCCGAGTCCCAGATGTGTAGTGAAGGTCCAATATATTGAAAAGCAAAGAAAACTTCTTTGCCTTCTAACTTCCACTTCCAGCAAGAATTATCCTACCCTCCTCGATGCCTAGTTGGAATTATTCATCTTAGTTTTCATCATAGCTGCATGCAGACAGGGTTTCTCTATTCAGTTGTAAGCTATTCGATAATAAACAGACTACTTTTGTTTTATGCTTTTGTGTAGTTCTTGACTTACTTTCACTGCATTCTTCAGCAAGGTGTTGCAAACTTTAAGAATACAATAAATATTTGTTAAATAAATGACTATGTGACCATAAAATAAAATTAATTCTGATGGTTGACCCCAGCACTCCATTACTCACCCAGAAACTCTATTTCTATGTGTTTGGGCACATCTATACATATATATATATATATCTATAATTAATTATACATAATAATGTACACATAATGTATTCCTGTTTTTGAACAACATTGTTATTATTTTATTTCAATATTGATTTTGCAAACACAACAATATTTGTCTTAAAAATTAGAATTGTTTTAAATTCTTTCTTGCGCCCACATGCAAGACACACACACACACACACACACACACACACACACACACACACACACACACACACTGAAAGCAGCCAATAATGCCCCTGTGATGTTGCTTTTGATAGAAAAGCACAAAATAAGTTAGGTATGCTGAACAGGTGAATATCAAAGGCAAACTTCGCCCTGCTGCCATTAACTACATGAAAGCTTTTGGAAGTTATTCTTTTTCTCATTTTAGTGGTTTGTATAATGAGATGAGAATTCAGAAACTCTGGCAACTCTTGGATCCATTTGTAACTGTTAGATAAAGAGAGACGCTCTGCAGAGGAATGATGATTCTATTTGAAAACACTGAACATCCAGATTCCTGAAGTGGCCAACAATCACCCCTGCCTCGTCTGGTATCACACAGTGTCTTGCCTTATGTAGTATGCTTTACTTTTCACTTTTTCTTTTCAGCTTCAGTAGCATAAAAACACCTTCTCTCCATGCTCATTTTGGCTCACTGTGAAATACAGTCTTGAGAGCAGAAAAATTGAAACACACTTATGCCTCTTAAGAAAGATTGTAGGAAACCAAAGTAATCACACCGCACGTACACACACACACACACACACACGACGTAAACAATATCCAACAGCAAGAAATCTGGCCAACTCACTGTGTACATCTTTAAACATTCTAGAGTGTCTTTGGAATGCTGACTAAATTTTGAACTTTTATGCCTGTATTTGCCTATCTTTTTTGCCTTTGTCTTGCCATTACAAATAAATAGCACTTGACTTAGAACCCGATGCCAGGACTGACTTGACTCTTGGTGATTTCTGTAAATGCACTGTTGTATTACCCTCAAGTACATCTTCTCAATAGTATGGATAACTAATATAGCACTACATCTGATGTCAATACCTGAACAATCCCCTTTTTAGGTAAGACTAGATTATGAAGACTGATGAAAGAAAACAGTTTGTAACTAGACTGATGATACTTCCAATGTATTTGGAGAAGTGTCAAGCAAGAAACAGTTTCAAAAGGCATCGATGGGTTCTGATGGTGAGGGGAGTATTCTACAGAAGACATTTATTTTTCTAGCCTAAGGGCCAGTAGGACAATAAACTCCCAGAAATGCTAGGTGGGGATTTGGAAGTTCACATAACTATATGAATAGTTCTTGGTATTTGGAAATCTTGTGTCATTAATCTTACTTTGGAAAAAAATAATTCTCATATTAGTTTACATTTGCATAATTGGTTGAATTTCCTGGCATTAGTTATTATTTTTTTTATCATCCAACATCTTTCCTGAATATAAATGTAATACACGAGTTCTCTTCTCTGGGTCAAAATCAGTGTCTTATAACTTTGCAAGCTCACTGGCTTCCAAAAACCTCAGCCCTGGGAAACAATCCTCCAAAAATCTTGTATACAGACATCTCCTGGGGATCAGTCAAAAATTGGGTATCATACATACCCTTGGTGCATTCCAGCAGTGTCCTTTTTAGGGTGTCTACTTTTCCCCACTGATCAATAAAATCCAAATCCATGCCAGTTTTGTTGTCATAGTTATCATTAATATCCCAGTTTACTGATAAAATTATCCTAATTTTGACAACACATTATATGAGTACTTTAATCCCCATTACATATCGTATTTCCTAAAACTATGTTTTTCAAAGTGTAGTGCACAGATTAAACTCATTAGTACAGCCTAAAAATACACTTTTACTGTATTTAAAAGTGTTTTTTGTTTGTTTGTTTGTTTGTTTTTTAAAAAAAGCAAAATCCTGTATCTCCGTCCCAGAGATTCTGATTTGATTAGGTCTACTTGATGCTCATGAAGTTGTATTCATACAATTAATATTCATTGAACACATAACCAGATTCTCTTTTCAGGGCTGAAAATAATCAATAAACAGGACAAGTTATTATGCATTGTCAATGATTCTGCTAACTAAAAGATTTTTATAAAAATCTAAAGCAAAAATTAATGAAGTCATAATATATGACAGCTGTAAATTATCTCAGCAATTATTTAGCCCAATTTTTTCATATTTTAGCTAAAGAAAGTAGAGTTGAAATATAGCAATAATACTAACAGCAACAACATAAACTATTATTTATGGAGTGATACTGTTGTTATAGGCACTGTCCTAAGATTTTTATAACCATTGTTGCTTTCTAGCCTTTCAAAACACCAATGAGGAGGGTACTATTAACTATCCTCATTTATTAAATGGGGAAACTGAACTCAGAAATATTAAGGAATCTTATCAAGATCATAGAAATAATGAGAAGGTGAAGCAAAACATTACCCAAGCAATATGACTTCAGAGCCTGAGTTCTTAAACAATATGTGCAACTCTTTTTTTTTTTTCTTTTTAATTATACTTTAAGTTTTAGGGTACATGTGCACATTGTGCAGGTTAGTTACATATGTATACATGTGCCGTGCTGGTGCGCTGCACCCACTAACTCGTCATCTAGCATTAGGTATATCTCCCAATGCTATCCCTCCCCCCTCCCCCCACCCCACAACAGTCCCCAGAGTGTGATATTCCCCTTCCTGTGTCCATGTGATCTCATTGTTCAATTCCCACCTATGAGTGAGAATATGCGGTGTTTGGTTTTTTGTTCTTGCGATAGTTTACTGAGAATGATGATTTCCAATTTCATCCATGTCCCTACAAAGGACGTGAACTCATCATTTTTTATGGCTGCATAGTATTCCATGGTGTATATGTTCCACATTTTCTTAATCCAGTCTATCATTGTTGGACATTTGGGTTGGTTCCAAGTCTTTGCTATTGTGAATAATGCCGCAATAAACATACGTGTGCATGTGTCTTTATAGCAGCATGATTTATAGTCATTTGGGTATATACCCAGTAATGGGATGGCTGGGTCAAATGGTATTTCTAGTTCTAGATCCCTGAGGAATCAGCATTCTTATACACCAACAACACACAAACAGAGAGCCAAATCATGAGTGAACTCCCATTCACAATTGCTTCAAAGAGAATAAAATACCTAGGAATCCAACTTACAAGGGATGTGAAGGACCTCTTCAAGGAGAACTACAAACCACTGCTCAAAGAAATAAAAGAGAATATGTGCAACTCTTTCCCTTTTGCCCTCATCATCATTCCGTGAACTATGTTTGGATAAGAACCCAGGGTTCTTGATTTCCCAAGACTATTTTCTTTCTGGTCTATCATGTTTCCTCAAGTGAAACATCGTCAAAATTATTGCTACACTTCATGCCAGGGAACTTCTCACTTTTGTAAGTGAAAGAATACATTCTAACTCCCTGGCAGCAACAGTTAACCAATTGACTTAAATCTTTCTCTTAATTTATTGATATGCCTTGCTACCTGCTTTAAGAAATATAGTGTTTGACTACTATGGTGGATTTGAAAAACAAAAGAAGATACATTGTGAGCAAATGTTGGTGAAGGTTTTAAAGGCTGTGTGTCTCATTTGGTGGGACAGCAGAAATCTGTCCAAAATCATACAAAAGTAGCAGCTGAGCAACTCTTGTTGGGATAGAGGTGATTTTTAGTTTAAGGTTTATTGTATCTTTCGATGTGTTACCTCCATCTTGGCAGTGTTTCTACATTAAGAGGCAATTAATCTTGCCAAACATATAAGCATAATTTAAATGAGGAGATTGTGAAGTCACTGAAAGATGTATGAAATCATGAAAATACCAGAAAATTCTAGAGTCCTTGCCACATATGTCAGAAAATATGCTTTTGCTTTGTTTTGTTGTTTTCACATTTACTAAACAGCAATTCATTAATTCATCACACAAATATCTCATTAGCAATTATTGCCAGTTTTCAATATGAGAAAACTAAAGGTCACTCTTCAAAGACACAGGATTATAAATGGTGTCATTGGGATTGGAACTCAGGTTTCAAGAAATCCATCTGGTGCACACAATTTTCAATTTATTTTTTTAATTCTTTAATAACTTTCAAACTGAAGATTGATGCTTCCATCTATCTGCTTAATCTCTAAGAACTGTCATCTAGAGAGCAGGAAACTGCAGCACAACAGCATGGACTGAGAAAACGAATTATATCTGAAAATGTAGGTCTGTCATCTCTAGATATGAGATCACTTTCGAGTTCTAAGAAAATGTTTCAACATTAGAGTCTATAAATTTTCAAATTTTTCTTTGTTATATTTTTATTGTCAAAATGAAGTTAACCCAGGAGTGTTAATATGCATTGGTTGCTTTTACTGTAGTTAAGGAATTTTTTTTTCCTGAATTTGAATATAACTTTATTACTTAATATGTGTATAATTGTGTGCAAGATATTTAATTCTGACTTAGTTTTCTCATTTGTAAAATGGGAATAGTGTCCATAAAACATCATAGAGAGTTGGGGAAATGAAGCAAAATTTTATGTATAACATCCAGTGTGAAGCACATAATAAATGTCGGAAAAAAGCTACAATTTTGTAAAACTATATGTGTGTGTGTATATATGTATACACAAAGTTATTGCTATACTTTATGCCACTGAATTTCTTACATATATACATACACATATACATATGCATTTATACACACACATACATATATTCACAATCCACATCGATAGTGTGTACATTTAAAGTATACACTAAATCTTAGAAAAATACAAATCTGTTGACTTCCTAATGGACTTATATTACACATTTGAAAACAGTTTTAGATATAGCTACTCTTTACTTGTGTTAATATTACCAATATGTTGTAGATATTATTCAGTGGCATTATTGGATGGTAGATTCTAAGGAATGTAACAGAGTATTAAAGGATTTTTTTCTCTTTTATTAAGGTCAGTATTTCCCAAACTTTAGGTGTTTGCAAACTGTCATTATGATTTGGGCTACTTCTACATACTATATCAACTATTATTTGTTGATATTTTACAATCAAAACCTCGCTTACCTTGATATGTTTAAAAAGAAACTTTTTATCATTACAATAAATGGAAAGCCACCTCACTTACCTTAAATATAAGATACTAAAATTAAATGAAAGAACAAAATATATACCTTTGTCATGCTCTGTTAAAGGCTTTGAGCCTGAGCTACACTCTATCTTGGTTACAATGGCAAGTGTTGAAGTTGTGTTAAAGACCCATTTGCAACATACTGATTCATTCTCCTTGATGTATCCAGAGGGAATGAAAGAAAGTTGAGAAGAGAATAACTTTCTCACTATAAGATTCAAGGTTAATTATTGCCTTTTCGACATACCGTCTAAAACCATCTCTTATTTCAATAAAAATCACTCTGATTTACATCCTAGTTTTACATCCCCCACTCAGGCAAATTCTGTACTGTCGATATCTACTTCTATTTCAAAGATCCTACCAATCTTTTAGGATGTATAAGTGTCAAATATTAAAAGAAGTAGAAAGGAAAGTTAATAGTGAAAGTTGTGGGGTTAACTGTAAGTCAAATGGATTGAGTAAAGCCATTGAATAATGTCTTTATAATTGACATGGAGTGCGATACAGTTCAGCCCTTAATGCGATTGTCTTGAAAAGTTCAAAGACAAGAGACTACTTTTCCCTTTTTGGTACACATATCAAACAGTTTTGTAATAATTCATGTGATGATGGACTGAGATTGTTTTATGATTGATAAACTCAGGGGATATAATGTATCATTTTTGAAGTAGGTGTTATGGTGATTGGTTTAATAATGATAGGAGGTGTCAAAGATTAAAAATATCAAGGGAAATGTCTATATAATATGCAAATGACTGTTAAGTGCAAGCATTTTTAACTAGATGGAGACAGAAAGCACATGCGCCAAAAAGACTAGAACATCATTCTGTCTGGAACCCTCTGCTTCATCCAGACACCTGGAATACTTTAAAGTTCATTTCTGGAGTGAGTTTATCAATCTCTCAGAGAACGTTCTCTCTCATAATTCAGAGATATAAATACAACATTGCAAAGTTGACAATCTTGTAAAAAAGTAGTAAGTAGACAGAACATTTTTTAGCAATATTCTTTTTTTAATAAATGCTTCTATTGGAAGAATAATGAATTCTTAATTAAAAATAGCAATAACAACAAAAAGAGACTGCCTGAATGGAATAATTCTATTTTGCCCCTTTCTCTGTAGTTGAGCGTTGGAGTGGCTATTTATATGTCTATGTCGGAGGGATAGGATAGTTGAATACATCTAATAAGATATATTATCTCATGCATGGGATATCCACATCCATGGCAAACTATCCTGTATTCAGGAATCTCTGGAGTCCCACAGGCTTAATAGATGACATGTCAACTGTCAAATCACTTTCCTAACCCTCATCCCCGCCTTTGTTACGGGGAAAGAAGCCCATGTCATATAGTAGGATATTCAAATATTTTTTGGAAAAAAGTTCCATGCCAACTAAGTAATTTGAATTTGAGTGGGATGAAATATTACAACTTTTAACTGTTTTACTTTACGTACAATTTCCTGAGGAAATTTCAGATAACTCTGTTGGCCCTAAAGACTCACTGCACTGAGCTGGCTCAATTTGCTTTACATATTTTGAAGCTATTTCATGAGTTCTGAAGGGTCCACTTTGACTTATTAAACAAAATTATCCTTCATGGGGTGAGTTGGTTGCAGATAAAAATAAGAAAAAAATATTTAAAAAGTATCCTTGGAGCAAAACTTCCCCATCTTCTCAATCATCAACATAAATAAAAACTAATACATTACCTTCCAAAAATCGTTTTTTGGCTTTAGTTGGAAACTCTGTAAGAACTAACAGATAACACCATGTTCCTCTGCTCTTTGTAGAAGGAAAGATATCTTATTCTTCATTCTTCTGACTATGTAATAGCCACACTCTTCAGGTAGATGACATGTCCAATGTACTTTACTTAAGTCAGTGGGATATCAAATTATTCTCTTCTGTATAAAACAATCTGTCTTTAACTATCAACAAGCCCTATCCAAGTTCATTGGATAGGGAAACCACATAATATATTAATTTGTTCTGTCTCCCAGGGAGAAAGATCATTTTAAATCCTTAGATTTTGAGTTCTCTTACCAACTGAGACTTTGAGAATTCCTAAGACTTCACTATTTATAAAACATTTTATGACAGTAACTGTATAAAACTTCTCTTTACAATTTAGAGAAGTCCAAGAATGCCTCTTCTCAGACTGCAGAGTGGAAGAAGCTCTCCTACTACTGTCTCTGCAAGGGTTAATGGAACTAGCATTGGTCTACTAAAACACTAACTTCACAGGCAGAATGGGACAGGAGCAAAAAACTATTAATTATTTATCAGGTTGATTCAGAGTAAGATACCAAAGAGAAATTTGTCTCAACTTGGGAAAACTGTGATATAAATAGGCCTATACCTCCAGCTTACTTTATGGCCTTGGACCATTTGCTATACCTTGTGCTCCTTCATCTTCTCCTCTAAAATGTAAGTCTTAGAAATATATTATTTCTAAGGCACACCAAGTGATGAAATTCTATATTTTATTCAACAGGGGAAACAAAACTCAGGATAATTATATTGGAATCAGGATAAAATGAATAATAGCTAATACAGGTATATACTTTAATTTACATTATTCTAACACTCTAAATTGCTGTGAGGAAAGAAATAGATGTTAATTACAAAACTAGAGGAAGAAGACAAATTTCAGTATTTGTAGATGGTATGATAATCTTGGAGGATGTCACTGAACCAACTGGAAACCAATTATATTAATAAAATGAAATTCAGAGTGCTTAGAGTTTATAACACACAGAAAGATAAAGCAATAGCTTTCCTGAACATCCACAAAGATTGGTTCAGAAGTAATAAAAAGACTTCTGCAAAAGTAAAACATATATTAAAAATAACAGAATATGTAGGGCATGTATAAAGTACATATAAAATGTGTTTAGGGACCTTAAAAAGATATTAATAAATTGAGGGTTATACTATATTTCTTGCTAGATTTGGGGGTAATTAATAGAAATTAAAAGTTGATTCTTCACTACTGATACATGGATTTAATATAATTCCAATGAAAATCACAATAGGGTTAATGAGATTTGGAAGAAACTTGAATACATTGTTACATTTCATGTAAAATAAGAAAGAAAATAGAATACTCAATTTTTATTTGAAATAGTGTGAAACTGAGAAAGGGAAGCTTGCCATGCCAGATATCAAAATATACCACATTAATAGCTAATATTACTCATTATTCTCTATATGGCTGGTCCTCTTCTAAGCATGCTACATATGTTAACTCATTTTTTTTTTTAGCACAAATCCTTAAACATAAGTTTAGCTTGTACATGAAGAAACTAAGGGAAATAGAAGAATGAATAATGTGCCCTATTATAAACAACAAACAAGTAGTTTACCGAGGATCAGAACCCAGGTCATCTGACACCGGATTCTGTGCCAGTAACCACTATAGCATACTGAGAGTTAGAAAAAGAATGAAATAGAGAGGAGAACTGTAAGGAGATAAGATTGTAAAAAGACAGGAGTTTGATCAGAGAGAAGAAAATACACTAAAATCACATATCTGCCAATGGACAGCATCACTAAAATGAACTTTAGATCTCCGAATTGACAAGAACCTAGAATCATTCATAATTCTTTACATCCTCTCCTTCATTTTCGCTGCTTTGCCACATTAAATGTTCCAGATTTTCACCATAAAAATTGGCAAAATTATTTTCATGTTCTCTTATTTTCCTCAAATAGGTTTTCTAAGTTTTTAAATTTTGTCAAAAATAGGCAAGACTCTGGCCTTCTGCTTTCTGCATATTGGAATTTTAAGAAGAGATTTTAGATAGTTTAATAATGTTTTTGTCATGCACGTATGTGCACACACGCAAGTTTGCTGCAAAGAGGTAGATTCCTCATTTTAAATTACTGATAGAATTCAAAACAAAATTTGTACCTCTGCTTTGAAAATGGTATGCAGAGGGGTCATTGCATATGTACAAAAGTGGTAGATTTTATTTAATGAGATTTTACTATGGCAAGTGATTTGCTAAGAATTTACATGTGTTGTCTCATCCACACTTCTCACAAAATCTCTTGATAGAAGCAGCATTATTAGCCTTATATTATGTTTTAGGGAAATGGTAAGCAGATAGGCAACACACTCAATTTATACTAGTTTTTATATAGAATTGAACACAAGGTTTCCGAAACAAAATTTAATTTTTTTTTTCATTTTTAAAACCCATATTATTAAACACTACACTGCAGTCTTTGGAAATAGATAATTTTAAAAT
The DNA here is from genome assembly GCF_000001405.40 of Homo sapiens. Lineage (NCBI taxonomy): Eukaryota > Metazoa > Chordata > Mammalia > Primates > Hominidae > Homo > Homo sapiens. The sequence goes on along the minus strand of NC_000016.10, from coordinate 63,268,120 downwards.
GTGAGACAATTTTATTAATGCCCACAGATGTATGAAGGTAGTACAGAATGTGCTTTAAAATATGCTGGTGGTATAATTAAAGCATGCTTGACTATGGATGAGGATGCCCAGCATTGTCTTCTGTGGAGGGGAGAGGTTCTTGCTGGAAGTCCACTTTTCAGCACAGGTGATTAATACATGTGGAATTACCTTCCTGTTTTGGTTCTGCAATATCTGCTTCTTTCTTTGAAGAGTTTTATTGTCTCATGTGAGACTAAAGAGGCAAAACAAGGCAAGAGTAGAGAAAACAGCTCTTACAAGTGTGCAGGTTAAAAGTGGTCACTCCTCTAGGAAGGTGCTCTAGAAGAAATCGTGTTTATGTATAATATATTGTAGAATGTATAATATTGATACACATGAGGTTAGTGCCTGCCTCCTGATGTACTTTATCATGGATCAATCATGGATCAAGGCAGATACTACACATAGAATAGCCAAAAACCAACCAAACAAACAAGAAACAGAGAAAGAGAGAAAAAAATTACTCAGAACAAAACCGAATTTTAACAATGGCGACTTTTAAGAAAAAAGGAAATAAGTAAAAAAGTGCAAGTAAAGAAATAAAAGAGGATTTTCAGTTTTAATGGAGTATATTGATGTGTCGAATTGCTCTGTGTAGAATAATTTAGTTTCCAATAGCAATCTGTTTCTTCCTTCATTGAATAAATGTTTCTTGAATGACTATTCTGTGTAAAGAATTGCCATAAGTGGTTAAATGTAAAGACAAACAGCTTTGTCTTCTTATAGCTTAAATTTGACTAGGTATGTGGGTTGAAGATATAACAATGATAAATCTAATAAATAAATGAATAAATTATGTGTTTTCTTAGAAGTAATTAATGCTATGGGGAAAAGGGGTTGGGAGGGAGGAATATAGAAACATAAGAGACATCGTCTGGTGAGGGGTGAGACAAGAAAAAGTAGAGAAATTAATGTGGGGGGGGAAGAGAAATTACAGGGAGAAAATACAATTAAGTAGATAAATTACTTGATAGTTGTTGCCACGTTTTCTGCCGATTTCCAAGCACAGGATTATCTAATATTTTAGCCTAACTTTTATTTCTGTGTTGTTGGTTTTTGATGATGTGAATTTTATATCTTCTCCTCCAAAAAACTTCGTAACATTATAAACATTTGTGCAATGAAAAAATTATGTTTCCACCTATTGTTGAAGTTTATGTTTCTGTTGTTGATGTTGTTTCTCTTATTGTTTTATTGTGGAAATCAGGAAAAGGGCATGAGTTCTACCTTTGGATTAATAAAAAGATGGGGAGGCTGAAGACACAAAAGGAGAGGCTGAAGACACAAAACCATAATAAGAATTCAGTAGAGTCCTTTGTGATCAGAAGATAAGACTGCCAGAATGCATAGACAACTTCAGAAGAACTTTAGCAGCAGTGACATAAGATCTAGTAGCACTTTTGTTTGACATATTTAGGAAAGTATAACCTCAATCAGTGTCTATATTATACTTGGGAGGGAGGAGAGGGAAGGAGTGACTAAGGTATCATGAGTAAAAATGACATCCATATCATAACATATCTACTTACTGGTTGAGTAAAACATAAATCTTAGGTCCCCTGCATCCAAGACTGATTTGCTTTTTACTTCTCCGTTGAATTCTTATTAGCTTCTTCCCAGTCATTGTTCATGCTCACTTGGCCTTTGTCTTCAAGATATGCATAGTCATATAGCATGATAAAATATTCATTGGCAAAATTATTTTGAGCAGGCAGAAAATAATAATAAACACCAGGCCGGAAAGAAAAAAATAATAAATGGGTATCTTGAACAAAATATGTTTACCATTTCACAATCTGAGTGTAATCTTTATTGAGAAACTTATATTAAATCTAATAAAAAGTATGTCAGAAACTTTATGACCAAATGTAACACAAATCATGAATGAGTGCTACAGCAAGTATGAATGAATTATGTCTGCTGTCCGAGCAATATAGGAGAAGGCAATAAGACACTTTTAGACTCATGTAAGTTTCAAACTATGACTCTAAAAAGTTCTTGCTAAAGTACATGCATTCTCCCAGTGGCTGCATATGTTTGCCTGACAAAACCCACAGTTGGACAATGAGTCCCAAGGTGTTAGCATTAAATTCCCACTCACATAGTAAGTTCTTCAACCAAGCGGCTGAGCTGACAGCATTGTAGAATGCTTTTCCATAAACAAATTCCACTCTATAGCCTGTTTTTCTCTTAGTTTCTGAAAAGAATTGTAATAGTGAGCTGAGACTCTTAAACAGAACAAAGAAGGAAAGAAAAATCTTTGATTAAACAAAATCCTCAGACAACAGATTTTCCTTTATAATATTGTGTCACCTGAGATTAAACTACAAATCTCCCTTCTTTCACACTAATTGTTAAAAACTTTATTAAAATGTTTTTGCACCCCACAATAATTATAGCAGAAGGAAAATGCTCTTGCTTAACAGTGTAGCATAGTATTTAAACACAGAAGGTCTGGATTTAGGCAGATCTGAGTTTAAATATCAGATCAAGTTCTGTGAAATAAGGAAATTTTAACAAAAATGTCGATAGCAAAGGTTAACCATCTATAAAATGGTACTAATATTTGCACGTAATACAAGGGTGTTTGCAAATTTTGGTCAAGATCTTTCATGTAATACACTTGCCATAGATTTGTCAAACTAAAATTCTCTAAAAACACTAGCTACTACTATAAATATATCACCTTCTAGAACTAGTGGGTACTTATTTAAAACAATCAGAGATAGTGCTAGTGTCACAATGAACATAAAATGAGTTAATATGTGTAATAGCACCCATGTTGATATTCATGCAAATAAGGAATTTAGCCTGGGCCAGGTGTGGTGGCTCACACCTATACTCCCAAGCATTCTGGGAGGCTGAAGTGGGTGGATCGCTTGAGCCCAGCAGTTCAAGACAAGTTTGGGCAACATGGCAAAACCCCATCTCTACAAAAAAACACAAAAATCAGCTGAGCATGGTGGCATAGACCTGTAGTCCCAGCTACTGAGATTGGTTGGCTGAGGTGGGAGGATCACCTGAGTCTGGGAGAGGGAGGTTGCAGCGTGCCAAGATTGGACCACTGCACTTCAGCCTGGGTGACAGAGAGAAACCCTGTCTCAAGAAAAAAAAAAAAAATTAGCCTGGCATTAAATGGTGGTTTCTTCATACAAAGACTGATACTTATTATTAATATGATTTTTTTGTATAAATGTATGAAGTACATGAGAAATGTTGTTACATGTATATAATGTGCGGTGATGAAGTCAAGGTATTTAATATGATTATTTATTAGGAGGCATTAGGAAGAGTCTACTACATGCTGAGTATACACATATTTCAATTAGAATCTCAACAATATATCCTCAAATATCTTGTTAACAAATTATTAAAGAAGAAACTGCTGTAAAGATATGCACAATACCTTTTTCAAAGTTACACAATTAGTTGCTGAAAGAATTATAATTTTTACTCTAGTTTTTGGGACAAACATACTATTCTTCTTTGAACCAATTATGACTATGTCATTCATAAATTTAGGAATGTGGTATGTGCTATCTAGGGAATAAATATCATTAGGAGAAGTTGTGAAAAGTAATGTTGGAAAATTTACAAAGTGATTACATTCAAGATGGCTAACTAGAAGGAGCTGGTGTTCACTGCTCACAGGAGGGACGAAAGAGTGGCAAGTAAACACTAGCTCTCCAACTGGATATCCAGGTGGACACATTGGGATTCATCAAAGAAGCAATGTGGCCCCACGGAGAACAGAGAAGAGCAAGACAGGACAGCCGACCACCCCACCCAGGAATGGCCCAGAGCCAGGGGAGGCCCTCCACTGTGGAAAAATGGTGAGTGATTGAGACTCCATGGGTACCCACACTTCTGTTGTGGACTTTGCAACCCTGGACTCAGAAGATCCCCAGTGTCCCCCTTCCACCAGGGCCTCCAGACTGACAGAGAGCTATGTGAAGTCTAAGCAGAGCCGCCATCAGGCACACACAGAGTCCCAGGAAACTTGGATCCCCAGGTACCCACAATCCCAGAGGCTGCAGCTCCAGCCATGGCTTCCTCATATGACTCCAAGATAGAGGTGGAATCCACAGGGCTGAGCAGCAGACAGATGGCAAGCCTCACCTCCACTGCATCTCACCAGACAAGGCCCACTGGCCTAGGACCCTGTGCAGCTAGCTACCCCAACCCCACCTGAGGTCTCAGCTCTGCCCTTCCCTGGGATGGGGCTCCCAGAGGTAGCAGGTGGGCCACTCTTTTTGCTGCCCTAAAGCCCTTGCTCCTCTTGCCCTCAGACTTGGGATGGAGTGCAGTGATTAGGAACTAACAGGGACCCACAGCACAGGATAGCTGCCTTCAGGAAAAGTGGCCAGACTATCTTGCACGCAGGTCCCCACCCCTGCTACTCCTCACTTGTCATGGCCTCTCCACCTGGGCCCCTAGAACAACCACCCTGCCCCTGCCTGAACACCTCAGTTGGTTGTAGCTCCACATTTCTTTGAGGAGGAAATCCCAGAGACAACCCATAGCCCTTCTGACATTGCAGCTGCAGTGGTACTGCCATTACTGTCCTTGGGCTGGGGAAGGAACAAAGCATGGTTGCTGTGCTGGCACCTCCAGCATGCTTCAACCACCATGTGGAAGAGCCCAGTATCTCTTGCATTTGAGCTCTCAACCTCTAGCTCTTCACCAAGCAAGACCCTCAGCTCAGGCCAGCATCTCAGCAACCCCATCCCCTGGCTGAACATTCCCATTACCCGAGGCTCTGCATTTCTCTAAGATGCAGTTCCCAGAGGCAAGTGAGAGCCCCTCTGCCACTGCCACTGCAGTGGTACTACCCTTGCTGCCCTTGTACTGGGAAAGAAACAAACACCCTGAGTGCTTTAGTTGCACCTCCAGCAAACCACAGGCACTCTAAGAAGAGGACAGTTTGTCTCCCCAGCAAGCAACTCACCTCTCCTGCTCTTCACCAAGCAGAGCCCTCTGGCTTGGAACCACAACACAGCTGCCCCACCTGAGGCCAGTCGCACTGATTGGCAGTGGCTCTACATTTCTATGGGGTGGAGCCCCAATAGACAAGTGAAAGGTCCTCTGTGACAATCACTGCTAAGCTCCCTTCCCCTGCTGCTTCCATAATGGGGAAGGAACAAAAAGCCTAAGCCTGCCCCAGGGCTGCTGTGTGCAGCCCAGGATTGCCAACTCAAGATCTGCAGCCAGGACTCTAGTGGGAGAGGAGCCCACACTTTCAGAGCGTTCAGAGAGAGCACGGCTGCAAATGTGAGGAAATACAGAGGAGCCACATGGCTGAGCAAGAGCTTACCTACAAGCCATTATGCTTAATCTACCGGATCATGGCCCAAACTTCAACACCAAAAAATATTTTGCTAACATACCCTCCTATGAAATCAAGAACAAGAATTTGGCTACAAATAAAGACTTGCATAAAGGCTTGGCCCTATGAAAATATCTATAAAAGAAGTCAACTGACTGTATTCAAATTATACCACAGTTACAAGAACATCAGCCAACACAGATGAGAAAGAACCAGTGCAAAACTATGGCATCTCAAAAAAGGCAGAGTGTCTTCTTTCTGCCAAATGACTGTACTAGTTCCTCAGCAAAGGTTCTTAACTAGGTTGAAATGACAGATATAAAAATCAGAATAAGGATGGGAATGAAGATAATTGAGAGTCAGGAGAAAGTCAAAACCTAATCCAAGGAATCTAAGGATTACAGTAATATGATACAGGAGCAGACACACAAAATGGCCATTATAAGAAAGAAACAACCTGATCTGATACAGCTGAAATACACACTGCCAGAATTTCCTAATACAATCACAAGAATTAAAAGCAGAATAGGCCAAGTTGAGGAAAGAATCTCAGACCTCAAAGATTAGTTGGTTCTCTGAAGTAACTCAGATAAAAATAAAGAAAAAAAGAATTAAAAAGAAGGAACAAAATCTCTGAGAAATATGGGATTATATGGAGAGACCAAATCTATGACTCACTGAATTCCCTGAAAGGGAGGGAAAGAAAACAAGCAACTGGAAAATGTATTTGAGAATATTATCCATAAAAATTTCTCCAGTCTCACTAGAGAGGCTAACATTCAAATTCAGGAGATGCAGAGAATGTTTGCATAATGCTCAGATTCTCCAAGGGCAACATGAAAGAAAAAATATTATAGGCCACTAGAGAGAAAGGACAGGTGGCCTACATAGGAAAACCCATTAGGCTAATAGTGGGTCATTCAGCAGAAACCCTACAAGCCAAAAGAGAATGGAGCATGTATTCAGCATTCTTACAGAAAAAACAAAAACAAAAACAAAATCCCACACAACTCTAAAAAAGAATTTCATATGCAGCAAAACACCAAAGGAGAAAGAAGATCCTTTTCAGACAAGCAAATGCTAAAGAAATTCATCACCACCAGACTTGCCTTACAAGAGGTACTTAAGGAATGCTGAATATGGACATGAAAGACCATTACTGGACACCACAAAAACACACTTAAGGCCAGGCACAATGGCTCATGCCTGTAATCCCAGCACACTGGGAGACCGAGACAAGCAGATCACAAGTTCAGAAGTTCAAGACCAGCCTGGCCAACATGGTGAAACCCTGTCTCTACTAAAAATTAAAAAATTAGCTGGGTGTGGTGGTGGGCACCTGTTATTTCAGCTACTTGGGAGGCTTGAACCTGGGAGGCAGAGGTTGCAGTGAGCCAAGATCATGCCACTGTACTCCAGCCTGGGTGACAGAGCAAGACTACATCTAAAAAAAAAAAAAAGCACACTCTTAAGTGTATAGAAAATTGATAGTATAAAGTAACGGCACAATCGAGTCTGCGTAATAACCACCTAACAACATGATAACAGGATCAAATCTGCACATGTCAATGTTAACCTTGAATGTAAATGGGTTAATGACCCAATTAAAAGGCACGGAGTGGCGAGTTGGATAAAGATACAAGACTCAACTGTATGGTGCCTTCAAGAGATCCATCTCACATGCAATGACATCCATAGGTTCAAAGTCAAGGAATGGAGATAAAATTACCAAGGAAATGAAAAGCAGAAAAAAAGCAAGGTTGCTATTCTAACTTAAGGTGAAACAGACATTAAACCAACAATAATCAAAAAAGACAAAGAAAGTCATTACCTAATAGTAAAGGTCAAAAAGAAGACCTAACTATCCTAAATATATATGCATCCAACACGAGAGCACCCAGACCCATAATTCAAGTTCTTATAGACTTGTGAAGAGACTTAGATAATCACACAATAATAGTGGGAGACTTCAACAAACCACTGGCAATATTAGATACATCATCAAGGCCTAAAATGAACAATGATATTCAGGACCTGAACTCAACACTTTACCAAATAAGCCTTACAGGTATCTACAGAACTCTTCACCCCAAAACAATGGAATATACGTTCTTCTCATCTACACGTGGCATGTATTCTAAAATTGACCACACAATTTGCCATAAAACAATCCTTAGCTAAGTAAAAAAAAAAAAAAAAAAAAAAAAAAAAAAAGTGAAATTGCAACAAACATACTCGGTCCACAGTACAATAAAAACAGATATCAATACTAAGAAAGTTGCTCAAAACTATACAATCACATGGAAATTGAATAATCTTCTCCTGAATTACTTTTAGATAAACAATGAAATTAAGGCAGAAATCAAGAAATTCTTTGAAACCAATGAGAACAAACATACAACATACCAGAATCTCTGGGACACAGCTAATACAGTGTTTAGGAGGAAGTTTATAGCACTATAACACTCACATCAAAAAGTTTGAAAGATCTCAAATTAACAACTGAAGATCACACCTCACGGAACTAGAGAAACAAGAGCAAATAAAACCCAAAGCTAGCAGAAGAAAATAAATAAACAAAATAATAGCTGAACTAAAGAAAATTGAGACACAAAAAATGGATCAAAAAAACAGAAGTTGGTTTAATGAAGGAAAAAATAAGATGGGTAGACGACTAGCTAGATTAATAAAGAAAAAGTGAGAGACGATCCAAAAAAACATAATCAGAAATGACAAAGGGGATGTTACTATTGACACCAAAGAAATACCAAAAACCCCTTAGAGGCTATTAAAACACCTCTATGCACACAAACTAGAAAAACTAAATAAATGGATAAATTCCTGGAAATATTAAACCAGGAAGAAATTGAAACCCTAAAGAGACAAATAATGAGGTCCAAAATTGGATCAGTAATTAAAAGCCTGCTAACCAGAAAAAGTACAGGATTAGATGGATTCACAGCTGAATTCTACCACATGTATAAAGAAGAGCAGATACTATTCCTCCTGAAACTATTCCAAACAATTGAGGAGGAGGAACTCCTTTTGAACTCTTTCTACAAGGCCAGCATCATCCTGACACCAAAACGTAGCAGAGGCGCAACAACAACAACAAAAAGAAAACTTCAGGCCAATATCCTTGATGAACATAGATGCAAAAATCTTCAACAAAATACAAGCAAACAAAATAGAAGCAAACAAAATCCAGCAGCACATCAAAAAGTTAATCTGCCACAATCAAGTAGGCTTTATCCCTGAGATGCAAGATGGGTTCAACATACGCAAATCAATAAACGTGATTCATCACATACACAGAACTAAAATTAAAAAAAAACACATGATCATTTCAATAGATGAAAAAAGACTTTTGATAAAATTCAACATTCCTTCATGTTAAAAATCTTCAAAAAACCAGGCATTGAAGGAACATACCTCAAAATAATAAGTGCAATCTATGACAGACCCACGGCCAACATCATACTGAATGAGCAAAAGCTGAAAGGATTTCATTTGAGAACTGGAACAAGACAAGGATCCTCACTCTCAGCATTATACATTATAGTACTGGAAGTCCTAGCCAGAGCAATCAAGCAAGAGAAAGAAATAAAGGGTATCAAAATAGGAAAAGAGGAAGTCTAATTATCTCCATTTGCAGATATGTTTCTATACTTAGAAAACACTATAGTATCTGCCCCAAAGCTCCCACTAGATCTGATTAACCACTTTTGCAAAGTATCAGGATACAAAACCAATGTACAAAAATTAGTAGCATTTCCATACACCAATAACATCCACACTGAGAGCCAAATCAAGAACACAATACCATTCCCAATAGCCACAAAGAGGATGAAATACCTAGGAATACAGTTAACCAGAGAGGTGAAATAACTCTAAAATGAGAATTACAAAACACTGCTCAAAGAAATCAAAGATGACATAAACAAATGGAAAAACATTTTATGTTCATGAATAGGAACAAACAATATTGTCGAAATGGCCATACTGCCCAAAGCAATTTGCAGATTCAATGCTATTCCTATCCAACTACCAATGGCATTCTTCATAGAATTAGAAAAAACTATTTTCAAATTAATAGGGAACAAAAAAAGAGGCTGAAGCACCAAGACGATCCTAAGCAAAAAGAACAAAGCTGAAGCCATCATGTTATCCAACTTTTAACTATACTACCATGTTACCCAACTTCTAACTATACTACAAGTCTACAGTAACCAAAACAGTATGGTACTGGTACAAAAACAGACACATAGACCAATGGAATGGAATAGAGAGCCCAGAAATAATGACATACACCTACATCCCTCTAATCTTCAACAAAGTTGACAAAAATAAGCAAAAAGGAAAGGACTCTCCATTTAATAATTCATGCTGGGATAACTGGCTTGCCATATGCAGAAGATAGAAACTGGACCCCTTTGTTACATCATGTACAAAAATTAATTCAAGGAGGATTAAAATCTTAAATGTAATATCTAAAACTGTAAAAACCCTGGAAGATACCCTAGGAAATAACATTCTAGACATAGGCCCTGGCAAAGATTTTATGACAAAGATGTCAAAAACAATTGCAACACAAACAAAAACAGACAAATGAGACCTAATTAAACTAAAGTGCTTCTGCAGAGCAAAAGAAACTATAAACAGAATAAACAGACAACCTACAGAATGAGAGAAGATATTTACAAACTAGGCATCCAACAAAAGTCTAATACCCAGACTCTATTAGGAACTTAATCTAATAAGGAACACACACACACACACACACACACACACACACACACACACTTTAAAAAGTGAGCAAAGGACATGAGCACTTTGCAAAAGAAGACATCCATGTGGCCAAGAAGCATATACAAAAACTGCTCAACATTACTAATCATTAGAGAAATGCAACTCAAAACCACAATGAGATACTGTCTCACTCCAGCCATAATGGCTACTAATAAAAAGTCAAAAAATAGCAGATGCTGGCAAGGTTGCAGAGAAGAAGGAATGCTATACACTGTTGGTGGGAATATAAGTTAGCTCAGCCATTGTGGAAAACCATTTGACAATTTCTCAAGGAACTTAAAGCAGAAATACCTTTAGATCCAGCTATCTTATTAGTGAGTATATATCCAAAGAACATAAATCATTCTACCATAAAGACAGATGCATGTATATTTTCACTGTAGCACTCTTTACAATAGAAAAGGCATAAAATCAACCTAAATGCCCGTCAAAGGTAGACTGGATAAAGAAAATGCGGTACATTCACACCATGGAATGTTACACAGCCATAAAAACAAATAAGATTGTGCCCTTTGCAGCAACGTGGGTGGAGCTGTAGGCCATTATCCTAAGCCAACTAACCACAGGAACAGAAAACCAAATACCACGTTCTAAATTATAAGTGGGAGCTAAAAAGTGAGAACACATGGACACAAAGAAGGGAACAAAAGATACTGGGGCCTACTTTGAGTGGGGAGGGTGGGAGTAGAGAAAGGTTAGAAAAACTACCTATTTGCTATTAGGCTTATTAGCTGGGTGACAAAGTGATTCGTACACCAAACCCCTGTGACACACAATTTATGTATGTAACAAACACACACATGTACCCCTGCACCTAAAATAAAAGTATGAAAAAAGTCTTATAAAACTGAGAAACTGGAAGGATTTAATAACAAAACAAAACAAAAATAAAAATATATAACATTGATAAATGTAATCATTTAATATTATAAAAATGCCAATTATCCTTCATAAAATTATAAACATTTGGAAATCCAATACAATTTCTACTGCATTTCTCTGGAAAATCTACATTAAAAAAGGCTTATGAAAGCTCAAGGAAATAATAAAAATCATGAGTAAACACAGAAGATTTATTCTACTAGTTTTAAAATATTTTCCAAAAGTATAATTAAAACTATTTACTTTAGCTGACAAGACAAATAAAGAAATGAACAGGAGACTCAGAATTGTATCTTTCCATGTGTAAGAACTTAGTTTATCATAGATATACATCAAGCTCATGTATGAAAGAACTGATTAGTTTATGAATACATTGACAGAACCTTCATTATATGGAAAATAATAACATAAAAGCTTCCAAATATGCAAAATTAATCATATAGGGTTTGCATATTTAAATATAAAATTTAGAATTATAAAGAGATGATAGAGGAAATTATAGTATACCATTGTTTTTTGAGGTAAAATATCCTATATTAATTCCTGGAAAATATAAACTAAGAAAAAATGATGGATTAAACTCCACTGAAACTGAGGATTTGTGTTGGAAAATTAAAAACACAGACAAATATAACAGACAATGACAAATTGGGACAAGTTATTTGCTAAACTTAAAACTGCAAATTATTAACAACTTGAATTTTATAAGGTTTTGCTGCAAGTCAAGCAAATGACAGGAAATAAAGTAAAATAGATACGTTATATCAATTGGTAAGTCACGTAAGGGAATACAAATGTATGACAATTATATAAAAGTAAGTACATTCAAAGAAATAAAAATTTACAGAACAGAGGGAGATCAAATTGCATTATAATTTATGTAAGCTATAAAGCAAGATAATGCTTGAGAAAGTGTAGGAATGAAAAGCCTCTGAGTAGTGCTTAGATTGCAAGCCAGTGTTGCCATTTGAAAAAGCAGTGGCCATTCGTACATATATGGCCTTGACTAAGAAAATCACATCCCTGATATATCATCTATGCAACATTGTCACAAATAACCATAAGAATTCACATATAAGAATATTCCAAGGGTATTATTCTTACAAATTATGTGAGGTGGAATTTCAACTTAGGTGTTTCTCTGTACAATGAAGTAATTCTCTCATACTATCTCTAAACATTTGATGTATTTGTGAAGCCTTCTCTTCATAAACCACATTATCATCTTAGGCAAGCTTGTGATAGGAAGTAGTTGGAGGTAAACAAGATTTTTATCATTAGGATAATCCATAAATTAACTGTAGAGTGTGCATTTGATTAAATAATAAACAGCAATATTTTGAAGCATTATATTGGATTTGCATAGATTGGATTTAAATATAGCACTAATGCTGTTCATTACACGTGTGCTTTGGCAAGGTGGGGTAATTAACAAACCCTCAGCAATAAAATATTTATCTTTGGTGTAATTATAAAGTAAATGATATTAATTATTTATCCATTTTACCTGCATACAGTCACATATATGAAATTAAAATTCAATATTAAATAAAAAAATCTAAAAGACATACTCTATGATCCAGAAAAAAATCACCACAAACACATATTTGTGTGTGTATGTGTTTATATATGTGTATATATATATGCACAAATATATAAGTATCATATATATACAAAACGCTTTTTGCAAATTTCACATACTAAATAAATTGCAGAGAATATATATGCATGTGTTTTTATACATGTATATATGACATGAAACGGATAACAATTTTTGCATACTTATAGTGAGCTAGGAATTTTTCTAAGTACTTTACATATACCAAATTTATCCTTTGGGTTAGATGTTACAGTCAAAGTCAGTTTACAAAGAAGGAAGCTGAGATACAGAGAGTTTAAGTATCTTGCCCAAAGTTACAATATATAATGGCAAATATGAACCTAGGCAATCCAGTCCCAAGATGCATCTTAGCTATCACAGTCTGACAGTGCTGAGTCCCCACTAGTTCCAATAACATTTCCTAAGAAAGAAAATCAAAATTGTGTGCCCCGATTTTAAATTTAAAAAAAAAAAACTTAAATATCTATATTTCATGTCAAAAGTATTGACTTAAAAACTTTGGAAAATAACACAAATTTAATTTCAAAATATTCTAACAACAAAAATTAAACATTTCCTCAGACAGTAGGCTCTTATTCAGATAAATCACAGAGTACTGGCAAACTAAGCTACAAATTGGACATAGGGTGTACCTGAATGACTTTAAAACTCCTAGAACAATTCATTAAAAACTCAGCAACATTTTTAAACAGGCCAGAGATATACATATAGGAAAAGAAACACCGAATACCATAAGTGAAATACAACTCTCACTTGGACTGAGCAATAACTAATTTGAGCTGTGACAAATGTATGTTATATATTCTAGGACTTTATATATTTACAGTTCTAGAGTGCTTACTTAATTTTATTTCAATAGTTTTGGGGAACAGGTAGTTTTTTATTATATGGGTAAGTTCTTTAGTGGTAATTTCTGTGATTTTGGTGCACCCGTCACTTGAGCAGTATACACTGTACTCAATGTGTAGTCTTTTATCCCTCACCCCCCTCCCACCCTTCCCCCCGAATCCCCAAAGTCCATTAGATGATTCTTATGCCTTTGCATCCTCATAGCTTAGCAACCACTTGTAAGTGAAAATGTATGAAATTTAGTTTTCCATTCCTGAGCTACGTCACTTAGAATAATGATCTCCAACTCCATCCAAGTTGCTGTTAATGCCATTATTTCATTCCTTTTTTGTGGCTTAGTAGTATTTAATGGTGTATATATACCACATTTTCTTTATCCACTCATGGGTTGATGGACATTTAGGTTGTCAGGACTTTCATTTTTTGAAACTTAGCTCCACAGAAGCAGAAGAGAAGGGAAATTATCTGAATCCCAATGTTCACTCTTTTTTTTTGAGATGGAGTCTCACTCTGTCACCCAGGCTGGTGCAATCTCAGCTCACTGCAACCTCCACCTCCCTGGTTCAAGCAGTTCCTCTGCCTCAGCCTCCCGAGTAGCTGGGATTACAGGCGCACATCACCACACTTGGCTAATTTTTTTGTATTTTTAGTAGAGGCAGAATTTCCCCATGTTGGCCAGGCTGGTCTTGAACTCCTGACCTCAGGCAATCCACTTGCCTTGGCCTCCCAAAGCCAATGTTCACTCTTTATGAGGCGGTGATATGGTTTGGCTCTGTGTCCCCACCCAAATCTCATCTTGTATGGTACTCCCATAATTCCTACGTGTTGTGGCAGGGACCTGATGGGAGATAATTGAATCATGGGGGCAGTTTCCCTCATACTGTTTTGTGTTTGTGAATAAGTCTCACAGATCTGATAGTTTTATCAGAGGTTTTCTCTTTTGTGTCTTCGTCATTCTCTTTGCCTGCTGCCATCCGTGTAAGATGGGACTTGCTCCTCCTTGCTTTACACCATGGTTATGAGTCTTCCCTAGCTATGTGGAACTGTAAGTCCAATTAAATTTCTTACTTTTGTAAATTGCCCAGCCTCAGGTATGTCTTTATCAGCACCACGAAAGCAGACTAATACAGGGAGTTCATGAGTCTCCACAGTAAATGAAACCTTCTGAATCGTAGACTCATATACAAATCTATTACATGTTTATTTATTCATTTAATCAATACTGAGTGTCCAAAATGTAAGGCATTTTGTATATATTGATATAAATACAAATAAGAGATTTAAAAACATAGTTTTTTCTTTTTTCCCATTTGAAAAGACAAAATAATGAGAAGAAAGTAGCATAAACAGGTTTTATCAAGTATCTAGTTTGTAAAGTTTCTCATTTACTGTAACATAGTGGGAAAGAGCATAGACTTAGAAATAGTAGTAATAATTTAAAAACTACTTTTGCTACTTAATATGTGATAGTTATTCATCATGAGCATAACTCTATTATGATGTAAACAGAAGATTATGATCCAAGTGTACAAAAATCTGAAGAGTATTAGAAATATCCTAAGTAGAAGACATGGCAAATGGACTTTGACATATAAAAGACCATAAATATATATTGGTTTCTATGTTTTAATTAAAGATTTTGGAATGAGGCTAATTGAACTCTGATCTGTGTATCAGACATTCATGATTCATCAGTTGCATGGGGATGGCAAATGTTCCTACTTTGGGAAGTTTCAATGATTTTTGATTATGATAACTCCTATAAAGCATTTAGTACAATGCATGAGTCATTATGTGTCCTTATCAATGTTTAGCTAATATTTCTATTTGTATGTCCGCATTTCTCATGCCAGACCTAATTGAATTAATTCAAAAATTATTTTAGATTAATGAAGTCTTGATATCTGCATTTCAGTGATGAAAACAAATACATTCTCTGAAACATAAATTAATTTGCATTGTGAGAATTATTAAATTTGTGGTCTATGCCAGACATGAGTGGTCTATTCCATGAATCCAAGTACCTAATAAACTGTGTGGTGTTCTGCTTTATTTCCTTGGCCCAGAGACCTGAGCAGGTGCATTTCTTGGCCATTGAGTATATTCTTTATAATATTACTTGGACTTCTCATCCCTACCTGCTTTGTGACATTCTCTTGTCATTTTTATATCAGAGCATAAAAAGTCATATCCAAAGTGATAAATTTGCACCACAAAAGATTTCAATCTGTCCTGTGTCATCGCACACATCCCATCATCTAATATTGGAATCAGGCATTGACTTTTAGAAGGTCCTCCCTATGTTGATGTATCTGTGGATTTACCTTTAGCAAAAGCTCCTTGCAGCCAGGGATCCATGACCAGATAATGGGATCATTCATGCTGCCTGATTTATGTAGCAACTCTTGAACTGTGTCATCATGAAGCTCTTTCATTCCTTCCACCAAGACGCACTCAAACAGAAATGACTCAAGCCTTTTGAAGGAACAAGCCTTGAGAAGTTATCATTTAAGATAGTAAAAAAACCCACTTTATTCACTAGTTCTTTTTCAACTCTCCTCATAAATATAGCTACTTGAAATTTTCAAAGGTGGGTTTTATACGGGGTCAACTCCTTTCCTTTGAATTTCCCGTTCCTATAATAGCATAGAGTGCTTTTATTACTGGAAGTTAATGTGATGTTTTATAAAAGAACGGGATTCAGAATTAGGCAAATGTAGTCTTAAATCATTCTGTCACACTTAATAAACTTCAGTTCCTTAGCAATTTATTTATCCTATTTTACACTTGTTTTCTTCATCTTAGAAAATGGGAATTCAAGTATATTTTTACAAAGTCACTTAGAAGATTAAATGTGAACCTGTTTTCCAGTGCTTTGCCTGTCACTTTGAACACATTCCACAAATGGTGGCTGAAATTCTTTTAGGAAAAACCTGTGTGTGAGCCAGTTAGTTTTAAAATCTCCTTGGTACTATGAAACAGAGAAATGTTATACTCTGCAAATCTATAAATAAACGTAGTCCACCTCCTACTTCCCATCACCTTCCCCACCACACACATAAACCTTATGTTAGAATGGTTATAAAGAGAGGAACATGGATTAGATATTCTCATCACAAATGACATAGCAGCAAGAGTAAGATAACAATGGCTTTGAATTCTAAAAGCCTAGGTTTGAATCTAGTTGCTTAAAAGAAAAAGGCATTATCTATGATTTTTCAAATTTCTCATTTCTCAACTTCAATATTTCAGAAGTATCACATATAATTTTCCTTCTATATCTACTCTTTTACATCCCCATTGCCATTTTACATATCTTGGACTCCATTATGGTTTCCCTGAACTATCTTATACCCTGGTCTTACCTCCCTTGGGTCCTTTGGATCAGAATTATCCTACCAACACAAAAATACTATCGAGTTGATTATTGGCTTCCAATTCATGGAAGATTTCCCATTATCCTAAATGTAAAGACTAAACCTTTTAAAATAGCTTATGAAACCCTTAATGAAATAGCCCTTCTCTGGATGATTAGATTCATATTTTACCACATACTTTCTCAAGCTTTCCTCTCCAGGTATACCAAATGTTTTTCAGTTCCTAAGACATATCTTTGCTTCAGAATGCTTCCAAACACCTTTCTTGTAATGTTCTCATTCCCCTAAATCACACCTTACACATTCAGCTGAGTAGCGCTCTCATGTGAACACACTCTCTCTCTGTCTAGATAAATGATAGATAAATAGACATAATTTTACAGCTATTTTAGATTTATGAAATGATTGTAAAGATAGTAGTGAGACTTTCTGTATACTTTATACCCAATTTTTCTCCTCCCCCTCTCCCTTTCCCTCCTCCTTCCCCTTCCCCTCCGCCTTCCCCTTCTTCTTCTTCCTTAATGGAGAAGGTCAAGCTCTATTGCCCAAGCTGGAGTGCAGTGACACAATCATAGCTCACTGCATCCTTGAACTCGTGAGTTCAGGAAATCCTCCCACCTAAGACTCTAAAGTAGCTGGAGCCATAAGCACGCTCCACCATACCTGGCTAATTTTTTACCCATTTTTTTTTTAATAGAAGAAATCCCATTTTGTTGTCCCGGATGTTCTCAACTCCTGGCCTCAAACACTCCTCTCTCCTCAGCCTCCTAAGGAGCTGAGATTATAGCCATGAACCAATGTGCCCTGATCTATTTTTAAAACTTTATCCTGGTACACTGATCACAATTAATAAAACTGATCTTGATACATTATTGTCAACTTAAGTCCATAGTTTATTTGTAATTCCCCAGGTTTTCCCTAATGTTCATTTTACATGTCAAAAGCTCCTCTAGAATACATTACATTTAGTAGTTGTATCTTCTGAGGCTCCTATTAGTTATGACAGTTTCTCACGCTTCCCTTATTTTTGAAGACCTTGACATTTTTGAGGATTACTGGACAAGTATTTTATAGAATGGCTTTTAGTTGGTATTTTTGTCTCATGGTTTTCTCATGATTAGCCTGGGGTAAGGTTTTTTGGGAGGAAGACAGTAGAGATGAGGAAGTGCTGTTTATATCGCCTCCTATAAAAGTGCATGCAGTCAATATAACTAATCACTGTTAATGTTAACCTTGGTCAGCTGGCTTGAGAAGTTATTTATCAGGTTGTTTCACTATGAATTTCTTCTCTTTTGTTCTTCCTTTCTATACCACATTGTCTGGAAAGACAATCACTATGGATAGTCTATACCTAAGGAATGGCAATTATGGTCTACCTCTTATTTACAGACTGTAATTTAAAATATTTTGAATAATCCTGTAAAGAGAATTCTCTTTATTTATTCAATCATATTTATATAAGTATGGCCTCATGAATATTTATTTTATATTTTGTGTTATAATGCAGCACTACCTTGTTTTGTTATTTTTTCAGCTTTGGTCATTGTAAGCTTTCAGTTGACTCCTGTATCCATTTGACAATCGTGCCATCTGCAGATAGAGATCTTTATTTCCAATCTGTGTACATTTCCTTTCCTTTTCTTATCTTATTGCACTAGTTAGGACTTTCAATAAGATGTTGAATAGGAGTGGTAAAAAAAAAAAAAAATTGGCCGGGTGCGGTGGCTTACACCTGTATCCCAGCACTTTGGGAGGCTGAGGTGGGCAGATCAGGAGGTCAAGAGATTGAGACCATCCTGGCCATCATAGTGAAACCCCATCTCTACTAAAAATACAAAAATTAGCCGGGCATGGTGGCACGTGCCTGTAGTCCCAGCTACTAGGGAGGCTGAGGTAGGAGAATCGCTTGAATCCGGGAGGCAGAGGTTGCAGTGAGCCGAGATCGTGCCACGGCACTCCAGCCTGGTGACAAAGCAAGACTCCATCTCAAAAAAAAAAAAAAAAAATTTTTTTTTTGCTTTACTTGTGCTCTTGCTTTCCAGGAGACAGTATCCAGTTTTTTAACCTTAAATATAATGTTTTATGTATGTTATTTGCAGATGTTCTATATCAATTTGAAGAAGTTCTTCACCATTCTAAATTTGCTAAGTTTTTTTAAAATCATACATATTTGTTGAACTTTTGTCCCTTGTTTTTTCTGTTTATACAACTTTTTTCACTTTTAGTTTGTTAATATGGTAGATACACTGTTTGTCTTATAAATGTTGAGGAATGCTGTGTTCCTGGAATAAATCTCAACCAGTTATGTTGTAAAATTCTGTATATCTATTTTTGGATTCAATTTGCTAATATTTCTTGAGGATTTTAATGACTATGTTCATGAGAGATATCAACCTGTAGATTTTTTTCCTTCTTATACTGTGTTCATAATGTTTTGCTTTCTCTATAATGCCAATCTGGTTTGATATTATTAAGTCTGGCCTCAGAATTATTTGGAAAGTTTTGCTTTTGCCTGTATTTCTGTAAAATATTGTAGAAAATTGGTATTATCTTACTTAAATGTGGGATAGAATTCACCAATGAAACCATCTGTCCATGGTGGTTTGCTTTTCAGAAGGTTATTAATTATTGAATACTCTTCTTTAATAGATATAGGGATTTGCAAGTTGTCCGTTTCACTTTGTGTGAATTTTGATAGTTTGCATTTCAGTCAGATGTCGTCTTGCTTCCATGGTTTCTGGTTAGAAAGTCACTGTGAAATTCTTATCCTTGCTCCTCTATATGAAGGGAGTTCTTCCACCCTGCTCTGGTTTCCTTCAAGATTTTTTACTTGTCTTTGTTTTTCTACGGTTTAACTATGCTACATTCAGTTATAGTTTTTGTCTTTTTCTGCTTTGTGAGCCCTGAGCTTTCTAAATCCATAGTTTTGTGACTATAATAAATTTTGGAAAGTTTTTAGTCATTATTACTTGAAGTATTTCTTTCTCAGTTTTCTCTTTGTTCTTCTGATGCTCTAATTATGCATTTGTTACATCTTTTGTATGAGTAACATGCTTTTAGTATTTTAAATGGGTAACATACATCTTTCCTTCTCACCCCAGGATTATACTATTAATGCTGAGTATGAGACTCCCTTCATGCCCAAACACAACTCAGAAGTACAATAAAGTTAATGCCACGGGGACTTAATGTTTGATATGTGAGGGATAAAGCTGGCTCATATATTTATTTTCTCATGCCTTATCCTGAAAGGACTACTAAATGCAGTGCTTAAGCAGATTCTCAGAAAACTGTCCCATGATATACTGGCTGTCTTGCCTTCTCCGATTTAGTATTCTTTTTGTTGGTCTGCTTCCTTGAACTGTAGTCCCTTTTCCTCCAGTTCTAGTTTCTGGCTAATGAAGCTAAAACAGGAGTTATCATCGCTATGAGTAAACAGAAAACCATATACAGAAGTTACCAAGGCCAGAACTTGTTCTAAGTTTCATATATATAATATATGATATGCATCATATATATAGAGACAGAGAAATTTTAGGATAAAATATTTATATGTCTATATTTGTCTGTCTACACATACATGCAGGCATATCTATTACATTCTTTGAAAAATCTTATGGGATCCTCCTTATTATCCACATTTTACAAAATAAACATGAGAGAAATGGCTTGGCATGACTAGCAGAAATGTCATGGCGTGACTTGGCTTTGGGGTCATTAGGGTAATAGATGTATGGACCTTAAGTGAATTTAGGTCATCTTAATTTAATATGCAGAAATATTGAGAATACACAGAGTGAAATATTATATTTGGCCTAATTTAACCCTCATAAACTAACAACTTAGTTACAAATGTTTTACAGTGAACACTGACAATTTCTTTCTGGTTGATTACAAAATACGATTATGTGTGATTTTCTACATCCTTCATGAGTTCAAATAACTTAAGGGCTCTGAAAGATTATTTGATAATTAAATATTATAAAATGCCAGTTATCCACACTAATAGAATCATAAGAGTTTTTAAACTTCATTCCCAGGGAATCTTTTAACTCAAAAAGAAAATAAGAGATGAGAAAAGCAAAAAGTTAATGCTCATTATGAATTACATAGATATTTATCATTAGCTAAATTTGCTTTGGCTTATACTTGCAAAGAAAAAAAGATCATTGAAGGAGTGAAGCTAAATATCTCATATTTGAGTTAATATATTTTGTTTATTCAATTTTATAATTAGCATTTATTGGCCACTTCATATAAATTAAGTACCAGACAAATCTTTGAGAGACATAAGATGTAAAATAAGTCTTTTCCATCCTGGACAAACTCAGCACACACAAAAATATGTACAATAATTATTATGTGAAATTATGATTAAGTTAAACGCATATTACTTAGTAAGTCAGAAACACTAAAGAAAGAACACATGGTAACCTGAGATACACATGGAGAGAGAGATTCTTAGATAAAATAACAGAGCTTGAAGCTATTTTGATGGACTTTAATGGGTAAGAGGCACCTACCAAGCAGATAAAGGCCCAGTAAGAAGACATTTTTAGTAATGATACACATGCAAAATCAGTTATTTTGGTTATGCTGATTAAACTCAAGACATGTTTATTTACTCACAAAAAATACAGGTAATGACTCGATTATTACAGTCAAAAAAAGAGAGAAATAGTATTTATTGAAAATATTTTAATCATAAACCTTCTATTACCCACACATACCTGTCAAAGTCCTTCTATTTTTGACATGCTCTGCTAGTGATAATTATTTTGCGATGGTAATTTTTTGTATATTTTAGGTAGTGATATTTTTCTTTATATTGCTTCGCATTAATATAATTTGCATACCATTGTATTACCTCCATCTTGTAAGTTTTAAACAAATATTTTTTAAAATAATGAATCAATCTATCAACATAATTTAAAGAAACTGTGGCTCTATATTATTCTGAACATTTTTATTACACGTGAGAGGACTCAAAATCAGCTCAGGATGAGAGGGACTTTGTTGAATCACAATATTGGAAAGTCCAGTGTCCAATTTGGGTGTGTCTGAATAGAATTTCCGAAGTTGGGCAGTTGGGAGTCCCCCCTTTTACTATCTTCTCCCCTCTTTTCTATGCTTTGTTTCTCTTACCTCTTTGTCTCAGCTCTTCTTTCTTTTTATTGGCTTTATTTTCTACTTGGAAACGTCTTAGTTCTGAAAAAAGAGCCTTCAGAAACTTGACCAAAAGGGTCCCTACAACTAGGGAATTCCCCTCTAAGAACATGACATAATCTATATTGCTAAATCCCTCTGTTAACTCTTTGGAAAGAGGATTTGGACTGAATCCATCAGGTTGATAGGTGAACAAGGCACTTTGACGGATAATTTCATTAGAACACAGGAAAAGGGGGAGCAGTTCCTTAATGGATAGATGAATACTGGTTGAATTGTTTTTAATCAATGTGTGTGTGTGTATGTGTGTGTGTGTGTGTGTGTGTGTGTGTGTGTGATGGATTTTCGCTCTTGTTGCCCAGGATGGAGTGCAATGACTCGATCTCGGCTCACCACAGCCTCTGCCTCCTGGATTCACACTATTCTCCTCTCTCAGGCTGCTGAGTAGCTGGGATTACAGGCATGTGCCACCGTGCCCAGCTAATTTTGTATTTTTAGTAGAGACAGGGTTTCTCCATGTTGGTCAGGCTGGTCTCGAACTCCAGACCTCAGGTGATCTGCCCGCCTCGGCCTCCCAAAATGCTGGGATTACAGGCTTGAGCCACCATGCCTGGCATACTTATTTTTCTTTATAAGATTGACTCCCTGAGAGATGTAGTCGGTCTGATTACATGAATCTGTGTCACCACAGGAAAATTTATTACCCATTTCTCTAACATGGGAAGGAAACTTACTAACTCTTACAAAACGGCTACTGATCATCTACACCCTCACCACCTATGGCTGGCCTCTTTTAGATTTAAGCAAACACCCTAACGCATTCATTTTTACTTTTGCCCTAGCACATAAACCATCCATAGACAGAGCCCCAGTTCTTTTCAAATGGTCTCTGGTTATAGAATATTAAACATCAGGAATTTTGAGTTCCTCAGGTATAAAAAGTCTTCTCAAATGGAGCTGTGAATTTTATGCAGTCACAGGCTACACAAATGTGGTCTGGATATTTGCATAATCTTGCAGCCTGAGTGAGTGTGAGTATGCAGCTGAGACCACCTCCAGAATATGTGTGATCTTGCACATCGGTTATTAATTTAGTCTGGCAAACTGTCAGTCAGACAACTGACCGACCTCTGAGCTAGTGTAGCAGGCAGCTGTGCAACTTGTCATCCCTTTAATCGGGCACTTAGCTAGTCAGGAAACCATCCCTGCAGCTAGCCAACCAGTCAGCTAGCAAGTTAACTAGCCAGTCTGCCAGGCAGCTCTAGTCAGCCAGCCAGTCAACCCCTGAGCCAGGGAGGGATTGAGCAAGTGAATAAGTCTCCTCCGTCAGCTTGGCAGCCATGAATATTTCTGTTTGCCAATCAGTCATCCATTCTATCAGCCATTCGGTCCTAAACCTGGCACTAGAGGTGGATTGCAGGGTAAGGATTTTTATTTTTTTGATTTTTTTAAAGGTTTGCTAGGGTTTACTGCTTACTCATCTTAATCTTTTTAGCCATCATGAGCAAATCAAATCAAATCATTTCATTATAGATTTTCCAAATAGATAGGATATTTAAGACAGCACAATACTGTGAATTCTAATAATTAGAGCAGACACTGTACCACAGAAAATTAATAGCAGGGTTGCAGAACCCATCTCAAAATACTTAGAGAATGCTGCCTTTAGGAAGACTTATTTACTAAGAAAATCAAAGTATAATATCTATAATTACAGAATTATCTTTTTAATACTGTAAGTCTCTCTGGCATTCTATGTAGCTAATATTTCTTAAATAATTTAATATTTTGAAAATAAAACAGAAATTTGCTTTTCAAGTATTATCAAGTTTAAAATTTGAAGTCATTAAGATATGCCTTTTCAGTAATTTCAAATGCATGAACTCGCTCTATGGAAAAAGAAAAGTAAATTCAATGTGTGTTTATTCTTAAATTCAATCATTCTACAATCATTTGCGTGTTGTAAAATAGATAGCGTTTAAACCCTCAAATTTTAAAGAGGGAAGCAAAGCAGAAAAACAAAAACAAAAAACAGAACAAAACCAGAAAAGCCCCGCCCTGAAGGAGTACATAAATTTTGACATTGGTGAAGACAAATATTTAACTCAGTAAAGGTTCTAATCCTAACAAAAATACAAATCTTTATGTGGTCACCTAGGAGTGTTTCCAGAGGAGGGGATGATGCTGAGCTGAATTTTGAGGAGCAGGAATTGTTAGCTTGTTCATTTGGTGTGTAGAGTGAATTCAAGGCAGAAACAGCAAGCCCTCTGGGAAACAGGCTGGGGTCTTTCAGAAAAGTACCCTGTGTTCTGTCTTTGGGGATCCTTCTACGTGAGTATGGAAAATAGAACCCAGGAAATGAGGCTGCAGAAGTCATTGAGGCCATAGGGTGTTCCTATGTGAACTTCATCCTGAGAGTTTCAGAGGAGGCCTGGAACGACTTTGTAGGACAGCAGGAATTCTGTGCTCGTCCACATGGTGACAGTTTCTAGATAGCTACTTTTATGTTCTCAGACAGTGGTCTTCAACTTTTTTGTTTGTGTATTTCCAAATGAATTCTGAAAACCTCACTCCCTTTCATGTATTTAAATTGACAAATAACATTTCATTTTAAGAGCAGGTAGTTGCAAGTGTTGTAATAATACTTGGCACACTTTAAATACTAACATTTTTAAGTAAGACATTTAAATCATTCTTATAAAGTGTATCCAATGAAATGAAAATCCTATAGCAAGTTGATAACCACTATTAATCATTCTATACATTCACAAAAAAATTTCTTTACCAGAAATTTTATATTCAGTTTTCTCTACTTGAGTTCTTATTTCTTCTATCTTCAAAAACTTTTCCTAATGGAATTGCTTATTCTTAAAATTATCTTATTTTTAACCACATAGTCAAACTTTACAATAAAACATACATGTAAAATCATTATCAATTATTCATGTAAAATATTATTTTCAGATTACAGCATCCTATAGCCAAAATCTCTATTTATAATTATTGTATTAATATTATATTATAATTAATATGAATACAATTTTTTGATAAATATATTCATAAGAAAATTTTCAAATTGGTCTGAATAACATGAAATAAATTTTTAACAATTAGAGTAGAATGAAACAGAGGCCAACACCAGGAATAACATTTTTTTTAACAGAGGTAAATGTTAAGCAGACATCTACACAGATAAGCAGTGGCTCACTGCAACCTCCGCCTCCTGGTTCAAGCAATTCTCCTGCCTCAGCCTCCTGAGTAGCTGGGACTAAAGGCACCCAATACCCCACCCGGCTAATTTTTGTATTTTTAGTAGAGACGGGGTTTCACCATGTTGGCCAGGATGGTCTCGATCTTCTGACATCGTGATCCGCTGCCTTGGCCTCCCAAAGTGCATAAAAGCCACTGTGTATGTGTGTGTATGTGTGTGTGTGTGTGTGTGTGTGTGTGTGTGTGTTGTGTGTGCTGGGATTACAGGCATGAGCCAACTCGCCCAGCCCACACTTTCTTAATTACTGACCTTTATAGTAGGTCTTGAAATCAGGTACTGTAAGCCCTTGACCTTGGTGTCCTTCAAGATTACCTTGGTTATCCTGTGCATTTCCATAGGAATTTTAAAACTTTCTCATCAATTTCCAGAAACAACAACAAAAAATAACAGACCTTCTATTGCTATTTTGACTGGAACTGTTGTGAATCTATAATAAATTTAGGGAGAATAAACATCTTAAGAGTTTAGATCTTCCAATGGAATAGGTACATCTTAAGGTTTCTTGCATCTTTAGAATCATGCAGTACTGGGTACTATTTCCTACAACTTTGTTAGTAAGTCTTAATCATGAATTATTTACATAATCTTCATAACTGCCTGTGAAGTTCAACAATACAAAATTAATAATCATAGAAAGCTAAAACTCATTCTTTCGATTTTTTTCGGAGTGTTTATGTTTGTTTATTCGTTTTGCATTTGTTTCTTCTTTCTTTGAGCTCTATTAAAATTTCCTATCTAAATTCTTCAACCATTTTGGTACTAACTTCATTCAAAATAATAAAGGCTCAAGACTGGCCACTAGCATTACTTCCAGTGCTAAGAAACAACCCGCATTTGTGTTTACAGTAGAGAGTTATAAATTACATTAAAATATCATTCAGTTAGAGTCATTCTCCAGGATTGTAAGAGATGGATGGTCTCCAGGGGAGGGTTGTCATAAAAAGGAAAATCAAACCAGCTGAATAATACCATAAGTCTCTATATAAAGCTAGCTCAGCCAAGCAGGGATATGAAAGGTGGCAGCCTTTGAGGAGATGGCTGACAGATTTCATTTGTCAAGGATCAGATCTTGCCCTGGTGCCACATGTCATACTTTCCCATCACCCCTTCGGTGTTGTACAGGAACCTTCTCCAGGTGCTGTCAGGGGAATATGCGGAGGCTGCCAGCTAGAGACCAGGCGTGATTAAGTCAAGTGTCTGAAAAGCAGCTATTTTCTCCTCTCTCTTCCGGCTCTAAGGTTCTGTCTCCCCTGTTGATTTACTAATCATGTAGAAAGAAAGTGAAGCTAAACTAAAAGTTTGACTTTTCTTTTATTTTCCTTTTTTTCTTTCTTTCTTTCTGTCTAGCCTCTCTATGCCTTTTTCTTCCTGGTTGTTCTCTTTTATATTTTCTCTTCCTTAACTATTATTTAGCCCCCCCAACTTTTTTAAATTTTATGTAATTTATCCTCTCTCTCCTAGTTCGTTTGCCTGATTTCTCCTCTTTCTCCTTACAAATAAATACAGATTTTATAATAATTCCTGTATGTTTGTGATTTTATTAATATGATTTTTTTTATTAAATGGGAGGAAATCCATCCAAAGGTGGTTTAAAGTTCATGCTTGCTTCATCAACTGTCTTAAATAATTTCCTTGACCTTTTCATTCAATCTTCTTTTCTCATGCCCTCCTTTCACTCTCTCTCTCTCTCTTTTTTTTATTTTTTATTTTTTTGTTTTGTTTTGTTTTTGAGATGGAGTCTCGCTCTGTCACCCAGGCTGGAAGTCAGTGGCACCATCTCAGCTCACTGCAACCTCTGCCTCCCGGATTCAAGCGATTCTCCTCCCTCAGCCTCCCAAGTAGCTGGGATTACAGGTGCATGCCACCATACCTGGCTAATTTTTGTACTTTTAATAGAGACGGGGTTTCACCATGTTGGCCAGGCTGGTCTCGAACTCCTGACCTCAGGGGATCTGCCCTGTCTCAGCCTTCAAAGTGCTGGGATTACAGGCATGAGCCACTGCACCCAGTCTCCCTCTGTTCTATTTTTTATCCATTTGTGTGTGCATGTGTTTGTGTATGTGTATGTGTGTGTGTGTTTGTGTGTGTGGGGGGGGGGGTGTACACTTTCTTTAGCTCAAGGCACTGTGCTAGGCACCAAAATCTAAAAAATGAGCAAATTTTTGTCTCTTAACTAGAGCATTTCACCAAGTTATTCCTTCAATTGCCTCTTAGTCTTGACAATTAAGAACTTCAATCTATGTGTCAATAAGGAATCCAAGCATTCACTATAAGGAATATACAAAGCTTACTCATACACTTGAAACATGATATTCAGAGCACTGCAAGCTATGAAGAGGACTTTAAATAAATTTTGTGATTTACTCCCCCAAGGAAACAAAAGAACCTGGGATTTGGTTCAATCTGAGGTTCCAATACCTGGGTCTCTGTGTGAAAGTTGACGGTTCTCACCAACTCTTTTCCTGACTTTACCCTTTTCTCCTTCCTATCTTTGACTCAATCACTGAAAGCACAATTAAAATTCCCAAAATTATTTCAAAAAACATATTTGAGCTATGAAGCAAAGTCAACCAACCAAACAAAACTTTCTTATTTACCTTATAAAACAAACTAGACATTCTAACCACTTGTCTGCATTGTATCTGCTACGTATTATGTGCAATTGATTTTCTCACACACACACACACACACGCACACACAGAACACATATTATATAACGTTATACAATTAGCATAACACAATAAATTTTGAGAAATGTTGCTAATAAATACATGAATCAATAATTACAATAAATGTATTTTTCACTGTACTATTTTTATAAATAATACGTTTAAACAACAGAAGTCAGAATCTTCAAATTATAAGTAGGAACCTAACTTTTAAACACTACACTGCTTTGAAAAACATTGTAAAAACCTTCTGAGCAACGTTTACATTTATACTTGGAATGATAATATCTTTCTTAGTTAACTTAAAGTTTGAGGAACTAAAGCAACCTTTTGAAAGAATGCTTTGTCAACCATAACATTATCATGATTTATGTCACTAGTTATGATATCCTTTCATAAATATTTGGGAAAATATTTGAGAACATGTTGTTCAAAGT
This sequence comes from Homo sapiens, assembly GCF_000001405.40. NCBI lineage: Eukaryota > Metazoa > Chordata > Mammalia > Primates > Hominidae > Homo > Homo sapiens. Next base: position 63,239,653 of record NC_000016.10, on the reverse strand, counting down.
AGTCAACCTGGAATATTTATGCAAGATATAAAACCTTGAAAACTTTTTTCTGCACTGGGAATCATTCTTTATTTATAACATGATAAAGTAAGTCCAAATACTCTATGACAGATACTGACAGAAGATATGAACTTCTCACTCAGAGACAAAGAATTTCATTACTCATGACACAGCAGGTAGCATGAGTATTAGCATGTTTCTGTTAATTCCACTTGCCTCCCAAATCCATGCAGAGGGCCTACACAGGTGCCTGCATAAATCATGGATTGTATCACAAAAGAGGATTGCTAAGCTTAAGAAATTCTCTATTTCACAGTGAGCAGTCAGCAAATAAGCCTTTGTTCCTAGGGGAGATGTTAACTCATCCCTCAATTGCTTGCTGTAAACATTACACTGAAAAATGGTCCAAGGTAAAGAGTGGTCAATGTCTTGAAGCGTAGCACACAGCAACACATGTAGGAATATGAAAGACCCAGGGAGAAATGTCTTGCAACATTTTTCTCTTTTAATTTTGCATTTCTTTTTGAAGAAAAGTAATGCTGAACTCTAAATAGCTTGGTATTCACCATAGTTACTGACTTTGTTTAGTATATTAAACCTAGGTTCAATAAAAACTGTCTTTATTTTAGCCAAGTTGGATTCCAATTCCACTAAAATTCACTTGATACCTGCTATGTGTCAATTATTGAGCGGGGTGTCTTATTTCATAAGAGACCATTCAGTACTTAGGAAAATACTCCAATATAAAGGCTTTTAAAAATAGTCTTTCTTTCTTTTCTTCTCTTTTTCCTTCCTTCCTTCCTTCCTTCCTTCCTTCCTTTTCCTTCCTTCCTTCCTTTCTTTCCTTCTTTCTTTGTTTTGATGAAGTTTCACTCTTGTTGCCCAAGCTGGAGTGCAATGGTGCAATCTCAGCTCACTGCAACCTCCACCTCTCAGGTTCAAGTGATTCTCCTGCCTCAGCCCCCCAAGTAGCTGGAATTACAGGCATGTGCCACCACGCCTGTCTAATTTTGTATTTTTAGAAGAGACAGGTTTTCTCCACGTTGGTCAGGCTGGTCTCGAACTCCCGAACTCAGGTGATCCACCCACCTCGGCCTCCCAAAGTGCTGGGATTACAGGCCTGAGCCACCGTGCCTGGCCCAAAATACTATTTCAAACAGCATTGTGTGAGAAGAGGTAAGGCAATAAGGAAGCTGTTGTCTAGCCTTGATCAATTTTCAGACCATTTCAAAATGCCTCTGGTGATATCCTTCTCATCATCTTATAAAGTTTTGCAAGTTGTTAGGAAGAGAACATTAAATCACCGGGTCAGTAGAGCCGTTTTCTTCCCTATAATTCATATGAATCCACTAGGTACAGGAAATGTTCATTTAATCAATGTGATGCCATTGTCGTAGAAAAAGCTCAGTCATTTTTTTTTAGAGTTACATTACAAATGTTGCAGAATCTGTTTATTCATTAGAGCAAAAATGTCACAAAACACAACTCCTATCTTTGTAGAGAGTTTATACCTGTATATGAATGGAAACACACACACATGCATGCATATTCACACACGTGCCCAGATTGAAGATTTTCCCTATCACTCTTCCGGTAACCATTCTCCTAGCAAGAGATATCAAGTGCAATAGCCAAAAAATTATTCTACACTTTTCATATTGATCTACTTCATTCAATTATTCATTACCAAAGTCTTAGGCAGATTGATCTTCAAAATGTAAATGCAATCATTTATCACCACCCTAAAGCCATACAATGCTTTTCCATTTTAGTTAGGCTAAAGCAAAAACTCCTTAACAATGTATACAACTCCTTAGATTTTCTATATTAGGAGTCTGAAAATTATAACACAAAAGCCAAATATATTTACGACTTTATTTGTAAGTGAAATTTTATTGGAGTATAGACATACATATTCATTTATGTACTATCTATGGCTGATTTTGCACTATAATGACATAGTTGACTAGTTGCAGCAGAAACTGTAATGCCCAGTAGTTAAAAAAGAATTACTATATTTACTGTGTTTGTTTTCTATTACTGCATAACTAATCACTGCAAAATTATTAGCTTGAAACAACAAAAGTATGTTATTTCCCAGTCTCTATGTGTCAGGAGTTGGCACAGTATGACCGTGTTCTCTGTTCAGGGTCTCACGTGACTGAAATCAAGATGTTGTCTAGAGCTACTGTATTATTTAAGATTTAGGGTCTTCCTCTAACTGCCCGTTTAGAAAATGCAATTCCTTTGAGTGGCAAGACTCCCAGTTGCTTAATAGTTATCATTAGTGGCTGCTTTCAGCTCCTAGGGCTGCCCACAGTTCTTGCCACATGATTTCTTCCATATTAAAGGCAGCAATGGAGAATGTCTTGTGAGTTAAATCCCCTTGTGCTGGAAATCTCTGAATTCCTCTATTTCTGACCTCTAGAACTAAGATTTAAATGTTTATGTGATAGGTCAGGCCCAAAAGGATAACCTCTCTATCTTAAGGTCACCTGATTTGGGACCTTAATAACATTTCCTTTCCAGAAGTGGTTGGATTCATGTTTGATTTAATATTTGGAACGAGGAGCCTATACAACAATTCTGGAAATCTTTAAAGCTGTCTTACAATTTTTTATACCATATGACACTTTATAGAAAACGCTTGCTGAGTCTGGTCTGAATCCTGGTGTGTAATTCAGACGCATGTCTCACCATGAGCCGCTTGGTTCGTGGGCCCCAGCCACACTGACTTTGTATAGCTCTCACACTAAACAAGCTATCTTCTACCATGATCCTTCTTAAATGCCAATTTCACTACATAAAACTTTTCTTCCAATATGTATCAGGTGAGCACCTCCTCTTTCTTTGACTATTTTTTCACATTTCCTTTCTATGGAGAATACACTTTAGACCTCCAATCAGGCCCTTCACCATCATAGAAATCTGTAACTTCATGCTTTTCTGTCTTTTAACAATAGTGATAGCTGTAATTCTGTATCTATCATATGATTATTTGATAGGCTTACCAAGCATACCATGTTGAATTGGTACTGAGGGAGTTCCTGGGAGGTAGACTTTCCTTCTAAAACAGGGACAGTCCCAGAAGAACAGGAAGAGTTATTTTTCCTATTATTTAATTAATATCAACATCTGCTTTGACTTTTGTTTTCTAAGCTTCATAAGTACACATAACATATTGTTAGAGTTGACCAATGACTTGTTTGTTTTACTTATAGTAGAAACTCAATAAATATTTTTTTAAAAACTGTCTTAGAGAAGGCCGAGCAAGATGGCTGAATAGAAACCCCCAGCTATTTTTACCCCAACAAGAACAACAAATTGAACAACTCTCCACACAAAAAGCACCCTCATAAAAACCAAACATCTGGTGAGCAATCACAGCACCTGGTTTTAACATCATATTAAGAAAAAAGGCACTGAAAATTGTAGGAAAGACAGACCTGAATCACCTAGATTTGGTCTATCATATAAACCAAATGGATCTGATAGTTATTTACAGAACATTTTATCCAACAGCTGCAGAATACACATTCTTCCTCCTCTGCACATGAATCATACTCAAGGATAGACCATTTGTTAGGTTACAAAACAAGTCTTAACAATTCAAAAAAAATTGAAAGTGTATGAAGTGTCTTCTCTGACCACAATGGAATAAAACAAGAAATCAATAACAAGAGGAATTTGGAAAACTATAGAAACACATGTAAATTAAACAATATATCCCTAAATAACCAGTGGATCAATAAAGAAATTAAGAGGTAAATTAAAAAATTTCTTGAAACAAAAAAAAAAATGGAAACAAAACATAACAAAATGTATGGGATACAGCAAAAGCAGTAACAAGAGGAAACCTTATAGCAATGAACACCTACATCAAAAAAAAAAGCAGAAAAACTTCAAATAAAAACCTAACAATGCATCTTAAAGAACTAGAAAAGCAAGAAAAACCAAACCCAGAATTAATAGAAGAAAAGAAATAAAAAAGATCAGAGCAGAAATAAGTGAAATTGGAGTGAAAAAAATACTAAAGATCAATGAAATGAAAAGCTGTTTTTGATAGGATAAATAAAGTCAACAAACAACAAACATTTAGCCTAACTAAAAGAAAGAAAGAAAGAAAGAAAAGAAAGAAAGAAAGAAAGAAAGAGAGAAAGAAAACCCAAATAAATAAAATCAAAGATGAAAATTAAGGCCTCAAAACCAATTCTGTGGAAACACAAAGAATCATTAGGGGCTACTATGAGCAACTATATGCCAATAAATTTGAAAATCTAGAAGAAATGGATAAATTTCTGGAAATACACAACCTATCAAGATTGAAACATGAAGAAATACAAAACCCAAACCAATCAATAACAAATAATGATATCGAAGCCATTATAAAAAATCTCCCCTCAAAGAAAAGCCAGGGACCTGATAGCTTTACTGTTGAATTTTACCAAACATTAAAAGAACAAATACCAATCCTACTCAAACTGTTCAAAAGAGACAGAGAGAGAGAGAGAGAGAGAGGGAGAGAAAGGTAGTACTTTCGAACTCATTCTACAAGGTCATTATTACCCTGATACCCAAATCAAAGAAAGAAACATTAAAAGAAGGAAACTACAGGCCAATCTCCCTGATGAACATTGATGCAAATATCCTCAACAAAATACTAGCAAACCAAATTCAGTGACACATTAAAAAGATCATTCATCATGACAAAGTGGGGGTTCTGCCAAGGATGCAAGAATGGTTATATATACACAAATCAATCAATGTGATACACCATATCAACATAATAAAGGAGAAAACCCACATGATACTTTCAATTAATATTGAAAAAAGCATTTAATAAAAATCAACATCCCATCATGATAAAAGCCCTCAAAAAAAAAAAACTGGATATAGAAAGAACCTATCTCAACACAATAAAAGGGATATATGACAGACCTACAGCTAGTATCATACTGAATAGGAAAAAAACTGAAAGACTGCTTCTAAGATCTGGAACACAGCAAGCATGTCCACTTTTACCACGATTATTCAACATAGTGCTGGAAGTCCTAGGTAGAGCAATCAGACAAGACAAATATATAAAGAACATCCAAATTGGATAGGAAGAAGTTAAATTATCTTTGTTTGCAGTTGACATGATCTTATATTTGGAAAAACCTAAAGACTCCACAAAAAAAATACTATTAGAACTGATGAACAAATTCATTAAAGTTGCAGGATACCAAATCAACATACAAAAATTAGTACCATTTCTATATGTCAACCATGAGTAATCTGAAAAATAAATAAAAAAGTAATAGCTTACTTTTTTACACTTATAATAGCTTACAATAGCTACAAATAAAATGAAATACCTATGAATAAACTTAACCAAAGAAGTGAAAGATCTTTACAATCAAAACTATTTTAAAAATTGATGCAAAAATGAGGAGAACACAAAAAATGAAGACATTTCATGTTCACAGATTAGATAAATCAATGTTGTTAAAATGTCAATTTTACCCAAAATAATCTACAGATTGAATGCAATCCTTATCAATATACCTGTGACATTCTTCATAGAAATAGAAAAAAAATCCTAAAATTTTTATGGAATCACAAAAATCCTGGAATAGCGAAAGCTATTCTGAGCAAAAAGAAGAAAACTGAAGGAATAACCTTACCTGACTTCAAAATACACTATGGAGCTATAGTAACCAAAACAGCAAGGCAGTGCCATAAAAAATATACACATAAAATTAATGGAATAGAATAGAGAATACAAAATATAAACCCATACATCTATAGTGAACTTATTTTTTACAAAATTGCTAAGAACATACATTGGGGAAAGGACAGTCTCTTCAATAAATCGTGCTAGGAAAATTAGATATCCACATGCAAATAATGAAACTAGACCCCTATATTTTGCTGTACACAAAAGTCAAATCAAAATGGATTAAAGACTTAAATCTAATATCTAAAATAATGACTCTACTCCACAAAAAACATTGAAGAAACTCTCTAAGACATTGGTTTGGGGAAAGATTTCTTGAGTGATTTCCCAAAAGAGTAGGCAACGAAGGAAAAAAAGGAAAAATTGGATCACATCAAGTTAATAAGCTTATGCACATCAGTGCAAACAATCAACAAAGTAAAATGATAACCATAAGAATGGGAGAAATTATTTGCAAACTATTCATTTGTTAATGGATTAGAAAGAGAATATATAGGGAGCTCAAACAATGGAAAAAATACTATAATCTAATTTTTAAAATGGACAAAATATCTGAAAAGATCTGTCTGAAAAGAAGACATACAGATAACCAACAGGTATACGAAAAGGTGCTCAACATCATTGATTATCAGAGAAATGCTAGTGAAAATTACGAGATATCATTTCAGCCAAAATACAGCAGTCTATGAATCAGAAAGAGGGCTTTCTCTAGACACCTAATCAGCCAGTGCCTTAATCTTGGAATTCCTACCCTACAGAACTATGAGAAAAAAATGGGTTGTTGTTTAAGCCACCCAGTGTATGATCTTCTATTACAGCAGCCCAAACCAACTAATACATGTAATTTGCCTAAAAGCCTAATGTACCTTAGGTATTAAAGGCAAAGCTGAGATTGCAATTTGAGATATCTGGCCACAAACATTATATTCCTCCTTCCTCACCAACTACCACTTGGCTTCAAATCTTTAATTGAATTTTCTTTATAATTTAAGTTTCATGTTTCATTGAACACTGTTCCAGATGATCATAGGGGTGCCAAGGCATGGGGAGTAGGGATGGCAGGTAGACCTTAGTTGGCAAATACATATGAGAAAGCTAGCACCAAATAAGCTATGTAGAAAGTAACAACACACCTCTTCATAATTTATTTTAAAGGATTTAATTAAAAACAGGTTTCCGTTTATTTTTAATTTTTATGGGTACATGGTTGGTTTATATATTTATGAAGTAGATGAGATATTTTGATACAGAAATACAATGCACAATAATCACATAAGGATAAGTAGGGGCCATCACCTCAAGCGTTAATTCTTCATGTTACAAACAATCCAATTACACTCTTTTATTTATTTTAAAATGTATTAGGTTGGTGGAAAAGTACTGCGGTTTTTCCCGTTGTTTTTAATGCGATAAATTATTGGTAAGTGTAGTCACTGTTTTGCTATCAGAAAAGCAGAAGAGAGAGAGAGAGAGAGAGCACACACTCTGGGGTTGCAAAAACAAAGCAAAACAACAAAAAAAACCCTATTATTATCTTTCAGTGATGTGGTCTCCCTCTGTCATCCAGGCTGGAGTGCAGAGGTGTGATGATAGCTCACTGCAGCCTCAAACTCCTGGGCTCCTTTGATCCTCATACGTAAGCCTTCTAATTAGCTGGGACTACAAGTGCACACCACCATTTTCAGCTAATCTTATTATTATTATTTTTTTTTGTAGAGATGGGAGTTTTGCATAATTGCCCAGGCTGGTATCAAACTCCCGGCTTTATGCCATCTTCCTGCTTCATCCTCTCAAAGTGCTGCAACTCGAATCACGAGTCACCACACCAAGCCTTCTGAGATCTCTTTTATAAGACACTAACCCACTGATGAGGCTCTACCTCATGATCTAATCACTTCTCAAAGTCTCCACCACCAAATATCATCACACTGAGGGTTAAGATTTTCACATACAAATTTTCGGGGGCATCAACACTCAGTCCAGAGGATTTGATATCTCTAAATCTCATTTTACTAGTCTACTATAGGAAAAAGTGTGCCTACCTCACAAAGCTCTTGGGAGCAATAAATGAGGTGGCATATTGTAAAGCCAAGAAAACTAGTTATTTAAGAACTATAGGTTTGTGTCTTGCTTGCTGACTTTTGTGGATGGCTTCATCTCTTCTATTCCTGATTTTTTTTGGGGGGGCGGGGGGTGGGTATGTGTTGCAGTTAGTCATGTTAGTCATATTCCAGCAAACTAATATAATATGAGAAGCAGCCACAGTACTGGGAACAGAGGGGATGAAAAGCTCTGTTTGTTTTTTGTTGTTGTTGTTGTTGTTTTTGTTTGTTTTTTTTGAGACGGAGTCTCCCTCTGTCACCCAGGCTGGAGTGCAGTGCCACAATCTTGGCTCACTGCAACCTCCGTCTCCTGGGTTCAAGCGATTCTTCTGCCTCAGCCTCCCAAGTAGCTGGAATTACAGGCACTGGCCACCATGCCCAGCTAACTTTTGTATTTTTAGTAGAGGTAGGGTTTTACCACGTTGGCCAGGATGGTCTCAAACTCGTGACCTCAAGCGATCTGCCTGTCTTGGCCTCCCAAAGTGCTGGGATTACAGGCGTGAGCCATCATGCCTGGCAGAAAACCTCCGTTTTATGCCCCCTATAACTCATTAATTAAAGTTTGAAACCCATTCATTATAAAGTATTTACTCTGCCTAATTTTTGTATATTATACAGCACTGGGATTCTTGTTTTTGTTTGTGTGCTTTCCTTAAATAATTCTAGAAATTCTCTAAGAATGACATGTTTCTTGGGATACCTTAAAATTTGCCTTTCTGGGTCTTATGCCTTACATGCTAGATCTGAACTTCTAGGGCTTTTTCCTTTTCTTATGTAATTTTTAAGAAAAAAATATTGAGAAGATTTTCTAAAGACAAAATAAAATTGTTTATTACCAGTTTAATGAGGATTTTCTTTCCTCTTAAGTCCACTTAGAATGTTGCCTATTCTCAAAACAAGGAGAGAAAAGAAAAGCAGAAGGATGTAAACAGAGAAGCCATTCCAGTGTGTTAGGCACTGCCATATGTCAACTGTAGGAAGTGATGAAAGACCATACACACTGAAACATCACAGGCATAAAGACTGAGAACCTTCTTTAGCTGTCAGCTGAGATCAGAGTCAATCACATTTTCATTTAGAAATGTCCCCTACTTGCTGAAGGATTGTATTACAAATGGGAAAGTAAGTTCCCCTCGTGGAGCCTTTAAGGATCATTCCCACACTGCCCTGGAAATTACACTCTCAGAGGCATATGAAATAAAATGATTTATTACACTCATATCTTAGAGAGAAAGGAGTGGCATGCTGCTCAAGAAGCCGTATGGGAGTAGCTCCAGGGAAGTAGGCTCAGCCAACCAGGTAGAGCTGAGAGAGAGAGGATCTATGGGCAACTGCTTTATTGGAAACCTGGGGGGTGTACACAAGCAAAAAGAATGAGAGAATTTCGTTAGTGTGTTTGAATGTCACTAGTTCAACAGTCAGGGGAGGGCAAGAAGGGAAATTGTGGCAGGTACCTCCTTATCATTTAGTGCACCTGACCACCTGGGCAGGGTGTTCACAGCTGCTTATAAGGATGTGGAGGCAGGAGGAAAATATGACATTTTAAAATTTTACAATATAAAGATATACAGTGTCCTGGACAAGATAAGTGGCAGGTTAATATGTTGAAATAAAGTGATAACAATGCAAATATTTTACATGACTTTGAAAGATGTAATATAAATCATAGAAAGTGGGATTTACTTAATGACATAATTAGTAGAAATATGGAATACAACTAAATAATAAAAAGGAACAGACTATTGGTACATATAAAAATTTTGATAAATTTCAAGGGTATTATTTGTGCTGAGTGAAAATAGCTATTATATATGCATATAATATGAGTAAATTTATATAACATTCTAAAAATAACAAAATTATAGAGATGGGGAACAGATCAGTGGTTGCAAGGGGTTAGGGAAGGAGAGGAGATGCATATATAAAACAATTCTGGTGTTTTGAGATGTGGGAGTTTTGAGATGAGATGATAGCTCTGTATCTTGATGGTGATCGTAGTTAACACAAATCTATAAATGTGATAAAATGTAGACCTATACACAAACATGTGCAAAAAAAAATGAGCACACAAACTCATGAGATCTAAGTCCTCTAGTTGTTTGGTTCCAATAATGTCCATTTTCTGTTTCCTAGTGTACTATTATGTAGGATGTTAGCGCTGGAGTCAACTGAATTACAAGTACACAGGACATCTCTGTAATATATTTGTAACTTCTTGTGGCTCTATACATACGTCAAAAGAAAAAAGTGAAAACAAGATCCAACATATGTGCCAGGCATTATCATAACAGCTGGAGATTCAAGCAGTAAACTAGACAAGTTCCTTGTCCTTATGGAGCTTACAGTCTAGCAGAGTAAAACAAAAAAAGTAGAAATCAGATAAATATGTAGTGTAATGTTGAGAAATGATTGCTTCTGTGAAACAAAATGTAAAGAGATAATTTGATGGCTGGGCTCAAGGCTTTATTTCAGAAGGAGTATTCAGGGAAGGTAACTCTGCGGAGGCGACATTTGAGATTTAAAATATTTGGATTTTTGGAAGGAGAAAATAACATTTCTACTTAATGTATTATAAAACTGCCAATATAAATCTAGTTGGGCATTCTTATATGTCAGGTCTGAAAATACAATAAAAAATAAAGTGGCCTTTATGATATAATATGTAAGGTTCTTCCCCTAAGAAATATATTTCTGCAAGGTAAACCTGGCTCAATTTTATTCTTGGGAAGAAAATAATGTGTGGATTAGAATAAAAATGGTTTTTTGGATTTTACTTTGAAGATTCATGCTTGCAGATAATAAAATGGAAAGTATTATAATCATTCATAATACATAAAATTATTGTGTAATTAGTTTATAATTTTATTATTACAGTTACTTTTTATTAGATATTTGGCATAATCTAAAATAGAAATTTCCTCACTTGATTTGATCTTCACAACCACTCTGTAAATTCTGTGTTATACTATGAGAAGCCACATTTGACAGATGAGGAAACCGAGGCTGATAAAGTTAAAATAAATTGCCAAAACACACAGATTCTTTGGCAGAGACAGAATTAAACCCAGCACTGTTGGGCTCCAAAGCCTGTTTATAACTAGGGTTTCCCATAAGAGATGGAGGGAAGAATAATCCAAAAAGAAGCACGTGCATTTGTGAAGAGATGTAACGGACTAAGTGAGACATGAAGTACCTGCAACTCATTAAAGCTGTGCTAAAGCTCCCAGTACAGCAATAAAATAATGGGGTACTGGGGCAGACAATTTATAGAAACTACAACACTTATGTAATGATTCCCCAACACGAAGAGGTGGATGTTAGCACTACTTAAGTATTAAGGAATGAAATGAGGAAGTCACTTGGCCAACATTACATTGCTGGTAAGGAAAGAGCTAGAAATTACAGGCACGCCTCTTTTTATCATGCTTCACTTTATTGCATTTCACAGATATTGTGTTTGTTACAAATTGAAAGCTTGTGGCAACCATTTTTCTAACAGCATATGCTCACTTCATGTCTCTGTGTTGCATTTGGGGAATTCTTGCAATATTTTAAAGATTTTCATTATTATTATATCTGTTATGGTGATCTGTGATGAATGATCTTTGATGTTCCTATTTTAATTGCTTTGGGGCATCACAAACTATGCCCATATAAAACAGCAAACTTTGTCTATATATATTACATGTATTCTGATTGCTCCACCTACCATTGCCCCATCTCTCTCTCTCTATTCCCTGAGATATGACAATACTGAAATTAGACAAATTGATAACCCTACAATGGCCTCTAAGTGTTCAAGTGAAAAAAAAAAAAAAGAGTTGCACCTCTCTCACTTTGAATCAGCAGCTAAAATTGATTAAGCTTAGTGAGGAAGTTGTGTCAACAGCCTGGAAATACCAAAAGCTAGGCCTGTTGTGTCAACCATTAGCCAAGTTTTGAAAGCAAAGAAAGAGTTCTTGAAAAAAATTAAAAATGCTACTTCAGAGAACATACAAATGTTAAAAAAGTGAAACAGCTTTACGGCTGATATGGAGAAAGTTTGAGTGGTCTGGGTAGAAGATCAAACCAGCCACAACATACCTATAAACCGGAGCCTAACCCAGAGCGAGGCTGCAACTGTCTTTAATTCTAAAAAGGTGAGGGAAGTGAGAAAACTGTGGAATAAAAGCATGGAGGTAGCAGAGGTTGGTTCATGAGGTTTAGGGAAAGAAGTTGTTTCTATAACATAAAAGTGCAAGGTAAACCGCAAGTGCTGACACAGAAGCTGCAGCAAGTAATCCAGAAGATGTAACTAAGATAATTGATGAAGATGGCTACAGTAAACAGCAGATTTTCAATGTAGACAAAATGGCCTTCTATTGGAAGAAGATACTATCAGAACTTTCACAGCTAGAAAGGGGAAGTCAAAGCCTGACTTCAAAGCTTCAAAGAACAGGCTGATTCTCTTGTTAGGAACTAATGCAGCTCGTGACTTTAGGTTGAAGCCATGATCATTTACCAAAAATCTTGAGGCCCTTAAGAATTATGCTAAAGGTACTCTGCCTGTGGTCTGTCAATAAAACAACAAAGCCTGCGTGATGATACACCAGTTTATAGCATGCTTTACGAAATATTTTAAGCCTACTCTTGAGACCTGTTCAGGTAAAAAGATTCCTTTAAAAATTACTGCTCATTGATAATACACCCAGTCACCCAAGAGCTCTGATGGAGAGGGATAAGAATGTTTATGTTTTGTTTTGTTTTTGAGAGGGAGTCTTGCTCTGTTACCCAGGCTGGAGTGCAGTGGCATGATCTCGGCTCACTGGAAACTCTGCAGGATTCTTCTGCCTCAGTCTCCCAAGTAGCTGGGACTACAGGTGTGCACCACCATGTCCAGCTAAGTTTTGTATTCTTAATGGAGACTTAAGCCATGTTAGCCAGGCTGGTCTTAAATTCCTGACCTCAAATGATGTGCCTGCCTCAGTCTCCCAAATTGCTGGGATTGCAGGCATGAGCCACTATGCCCAGCAGAGATGAATAAGGATAGCAATGATGTTTTCATGCCTATTAACACAACATCCATTCTGCAGCCTATGGAACGAGAAGTATTTTCAACTTCCAGGTACTGGAAATGCATTTTATAAGGCTATGGCTGCCATAGATAATGTTTCTTTTGATGAATCTGGGCAAAATAAATAAAAGAACTTTCTGGAAAAGACTATTTTAGATGTTATTAAGAGCATTTGTGATTCATAGGAGGAGGTCAAAATACCAACAATAACAGAAGGTTGAAAAAGTTGATTTAGAACCCTCATAGATAACTTTGAGAAGTTCAAGACTTCAGTGAAGGATATAATTGCACGTGTAGTAGAAATAGCAAGATAACTAGAATTAAAACAGGAACCTGGAGATGTGACTGCATTGCTACAATTTCATGATAAAACTTGAATGAATGAGGAGTTGCCATTTTTTTTTAAGACAGAGTCTCACTCACTCTGTTGCCCAGGCTGGAGTGCAGCAACGCCATCTTGGCTCACTGCAACCTCTGCCTCTTGGGTTCAAGCGATTGTCCTCCTTCAACTTCCCAAGTAACTGAGATTACAGTCGTGTGTCACCATGCCCAGTTAATTTTTGTATTTTTATTAGAGACAGGGCTTCACCATGTTGGCCAGGCTGGTCTCCAACTCCTGACCTCAAGTGATCGACTCACCTCGGCCTCCCAAAATGCTGAGATTACAGGTCAGAGCCACTGCACCTGACCAGGAGTTGCTTCTTTTAGATGAGTAAAGAAAGTTATTTCGTGAGATGGAATCTACTCCTGGTGAAGATGCTGTCAACAATGCTGAAATAACAACAAAGGATTTAGAAAATAAGTAAACTTAGTTGATAAAGCAGTGGCAAGGTTTGAGTGTATTGATTTCAATTCCTGAAAAAGATCTACTGTTGGTAAAATGCTATTAAATGGTATTGCATACTACAGAAAAATCTTTCTTAAAAGAAAGAGTTGATCGGTGTGGTAAATGTTATTTTATTATTATTATTTTGAGAACTTAACATAGCTACCCCAGCCTTCAGCAACTACTACCCTTATCAGTCAGCAACATCAAGGCAAGATCCTCCACCAGCAAAAAGTTTATGATTCACTAAAGAGTCAGATGATCACTAGCAGATTTTAGCAATATTTTTAATTAAGATATGTGCATTGATTTTTGGACATAATGCTATTAAACACTTAATAGATTACAGTACAAATGCAACTTTAATATGAACTAGAAAAGCAAAAAAAATCATATGATTCATTTTATTGTGATATTCGCTTTATTGTGATAATCTGGAACCAAACCTGCAATGTCTCTAAGGAATACCTGAACCAGAATAAAAGCCACCCCTTCCACCTGCTCCACCCATGTTAGTTAGACCTTGCTAATTGATCCTGGTACCTTTTTTGATAAATTGCATCAGCAACCTTTCTCTGCACATGGCTATTGGAATTCTGTATTTATGGATTAGAGTTGCTGCAAGAGATAAAAATTATTTACTGTCCCATGAATAGAATAATCATAATATGCAGCGTTCCATGATTCTTCATTCTGTATAGTGCATTAGGATCTGCTTTACTGAATTTTTTGTCCATTTATTTTCCTCTGGCCAGTGTATAGCTATAATGTGGCTATAGACCAAAGCAGAAATTAAAAACAACTTATGACTTTGTCCTTTCTATGCCCCTGAGGAGCATTAGAATTTAATATGAAAACTTGTAGTTAATTCTACAAAAAAATTAAAAAGAACTCATTATGGGGGAAAATTTGACATAGCAGAGAAAAGCATATATTGCAAATTAGACCAAAGTGCGTTTCCCCTATGATCTGTATAACGTTACCCAAATAATTTAACCACACCGAGACGCACTTTTCTCGTGTGAAAGAATGTTACAATATTGCTAACTATCATATTGCATTTTTGCAGAGGGTTAGTGTTATATCACAGATAAAGCTGTGAGTACTGTTTGCAGGTAGCATAGAGTAAATGAATATTTGTGATCTTCATGTTCCATTTTGTATGTTGAAAAAAATGGAAAAGAGCATGTGATTTGCACAAGATATGCAACAACATCAGAATCAGAATGTTAAGGTAGAAATGACCTTGTGATCATACTATAGTGTCTTCCTCTTTATGGCAGGGAAGAGAAATTGGCAATTTCTTTGTAGTCTTTAATGCCTTGTATTAAACTAATGCTTTATCTACTTGAACAGCTATCTATTCAAATCCCTACTACTTAGACTAAAAAATGCATAGTATATTAAACAGAAAATAAAAAAATGTGATTTCTAGAGGACCTAGATTATGTTGACTTCCAGAATGCTACATTTATTCCTCCTTACAGAGTGTCCTTTTTAATAAAATATTTACTTTAAGTAAGTTTTTGAATTTTCCTTAAAAATCAGATAAGAAAATCTCAAAAGAAATCACATTTGTTCTTAAGAAACCACATTCGATTTTGAATTTTCATTCGGATAGAAAACACTTACCTATTTTTTTTTCTGTTGATCATTAGGTAAATTAATTCTGAATAAACTTGAATTCAAAAACATGAGGAAATAGCAGTACTTTGAGTCTAAAATTAGGTTTTAATTTTGTATTATGTTGCATTGGTTGATTGTCACTCCCTATATGGTAACTTCCCCCAAAAAAATGAAGATGCAGGTGTGGTTGGTGTCAGGACAGCCTGTTATGATGTAGCCTGGAAGAGTAGTTCCCTTATCTGTTGCATAGTTAAGCCCCTGGGGAGTGTGCATGGCAAGTACATTAAAATGCAGCATCCAGAGCTTTAACCCAGGCAAATCTGATTCAAGAGGTCTGAGCACGGTGCCTTCAATCCTGTATTATAACAGGGAATTGTCAATGATTCTGGTGCATATGTAGGGTTGCTTTTCTATGGTTAATAACAATAATAACACAATTTAAAGATTAGCTTAGAGAAAAAAATGTTTTCTCTGTCTACAATGTTTTCTCTCAGGCCATACAGTTGTGCTGCTTAACATTATTACCAAAATTAGTAATGAGCAATAAGCGATGTGCTTTCAGATAACAGTGCCTCTAACCTGGAATCTCCTTTTGAGTAGTCCATGTTCTTCAATAGTGACAAAGCAGAAGCCAGAGCAGAGGACATCTATTGTGGCATTGTGTTTTGTCCCTTTACAGTGAAGTAGTCCTTCCAGGAATAAAACAAACCACTAATCTGCAAGGTATAGTTTGAATTTATTACACCATCCTGTTTACATGGGCTAATGCAGTAGCTTCCAAATGGTTCCTGCTGGCATTCTCACATCTTCTCATTCATTCATCACCTGACAACCATAATTATCTTGTAAAATGGATCATGTTAATTCTAGCCTAAAATCAAAAGAGCTCTATGAATTAGGATCACTCATGATTCAAATCCTTCCTTCCATGTCTCCCAATTTCTCTAAAATTATCACGTCTTTCTTTCCTTTACTAATTATGCTTTTACCTTCTTTTTGATTCTGAGTTATATTGAGACCTTTCCAACTTTGGAGGATAATGCTCACTGTTTTTTTTTTTTTTTTTCGTTTTCTTTCCCATCACTCCTTTTATATGGCTTCATAGTCTAATTTCTCAGGTCAAAAGTCAACTTTTCTCGAGAGGGCTCCCTGACCATCCAATTGATATTCATTCTTTTCAACCAATGTTTTTCCTCAAGGCACTTTTTTTTTTTTTTTAATTATACTTTAAGTTTTAGGGTACATGTGCACATTGTGCAGGTAAGTTACTTATGTATACATGTGCCATGCTGGTGCGCTGCACCCACTAACTCGTCATCTAGCATTAGGTATATCTCCCAGTGCTATCCCTCCCCCTGCCCCGCCACCACAGTCCCCAGAGTGTGATATTCCCCTTCCTGTGTCCATGTGATCTCATTGTTCAATTCCCACCTATGAGTGAGAATATGCGGTGTTTGGTTTTTTGTTCTTGGGATAGTTTACTGAGAATGATGGTTTCCAATTTCATCCATGTCCCTACAAAGGACATGAACTCATCATTTTTTATGGCTGCATAGTATTCCACTATGAGATATCATCTCACACCAGTTAGAATGGCAATCATTAAAAAGTCAGGAAACAACAGGTGCTGGAGAGGATGTGGAGAAATAGGAACACTTTTACACTGTTGGTGGGACTGTAAACTAGTTCAACCATTGTGGAAGTCAGTGTGGCGATTCCTCAGGGATCTAGAACTAGAAATACCATTTGACCCAGCCATCCCATTACTGGGTATATACCCAAATGACTATAAATCATGCTGCTATAAAGACACATGCACACGTATGTTTATTGCGGCATTATTCACAATAGCAAAGACTTGGAACCAACTCAAGGTACTTTTTACAAGCCGTACTGACATAATTTGACTTTGTGTCTCCACCGAAATCTCATCTCGAATTGTAATCCCCAGGTGTTGAGGGAGGGACCTGCTAGGTGATTGGATCATGGGGGAGATGTCCCCCATGCTGTTCTCACGATAATGAGTGAGCTCTCATGAGATTTGATGGTTTTATAAGGGACTGTTTCCCCTTCATGCTCTCTCTCTCTCATCTGACGCCATGTAAGATGTGCCTGTTTCCCTCCCATCATGATTGTAAGTTTCCTGAGGCCTCCCCAGCCATGTGGAACTGAGTCAATTAAACCTGTTTTCTTTATAAATTACCCAGTCTTGGGCAGTTCTTCATAGCAGTGTGAGAATTAACTAATACACACACTTTTCTTTTTTATGTATGTGATTTTATGTTTCTTAGCTATCTTCTCTTCTAGATTATTTATTTCATGATAGCAAAGACTGACTTATCTTGTAAACACTACATCCCCGGTACTTAATACAAAGGCTGGCATATAATAAGTGCTTAATAAATGTTGTGGTTCAAATGAATAGATGACATAGTTACACTGCCTTCTTAGACAAAGAGAAGAAAGTCATTTAACACAATTGGTAAAGAGCATGAAGAACCTGGAACTGAAAATCAAGTTTTTAATTCTTATTTTATATATTAAATTGCTCAAATAACGGCAATATATATCAATTATATACAATTTAGAAAATGCAGACTAGTTATTAAAATAACAGCATTCATTTCCTTTGGCAATGAAATGAGTCAAACTCTGTAAAATATTTGCAGAGATTTATTCTGAGCCAAATATGAGTGACCAATAGCCTGTGACTTGGCCCCAGGAGATCCTGAAAACGTTTGTCCGAGGTGGTCGGGCTCCAGCTTGGTTTTATACATTATGAGAGATATTAGAAATCAATATACGTAAGATGTACATTGTTTTGATATAGAAAGGTGGGACAACTTGAAGAAAGTGGTGGGGATGGCTTCCAGGTCATAGGTGGATTTAAAGATTTTCTGATTGGCAGTTGGTTTAAAGAGTTTATGTACAGACTTGGAGTCAATAGAATGGAGTGTCTGGGTTAAGATAAGAGCTTGAGGAGACCATGGTTTCTTCTATTACCATATGAATCCTCCAGGCAGCAAGTTTCAGTGCAAATAGATTTTAAATGTTTTCTATCAGACTTAAAAGAATGCCAGAATCTTAGTTAATTTTCTTCTGAATCAGGTAAAAAACCTGGGAAAGGGAAGGGATTATTTTCAGAATGTAGATTTTTCCCACAAAAGACAGCTTTGCAGGACTATTTCAAGATATAGCAAATAAACATTATTTGAGGTAAAATACTTTGATTTGTTTCAGGGCCTGCTATCTGTCATGCAATGCTGTGCTAGAGTCAGGCTGTAATTTGGTATCTCATTGCTACAGATTCAGCTTTGTCAGCTGTAAGATCTGTTTTATTGTTAATGCTGATCAGCTATGCCTGAATTTTGAAAGGAAGTGGGGGATAATGAGGCATGTCTTACCCCCACTTCCCATCATGGTCTGAATAGTTTTTCAGGTTAACTCTGGAATGCCCTTCCCAAGAAGAAAGGTCCATTTAGATTGTTGGGAGGCTTAGAATTTTGTTGTTAGTTGACACCTTATGATCTAAAAACCCAGTGGAAGCCACCATTAACTGTTAGATGTATTTTTCAGATTTTTCAGTTTTTCTGTATGGGAGTCATGCCATTAGACAGTATTCACATATCTGTCTAACAGTGCTTATAACAAATAACTTACATATGTTGTTATCCACATACAATGTTTGTGTGAATACAACCCTAAACCATCTTTAATCATTTGAATTGTTTCTAATAGCTTATATTGCAAAACACACCACAAGGATCTTTATGTATGATTCTTGATATGCTTCCCTGATTATTTTTATGCCACTTTCTCAGTGATTCCTTGATATTATCATCCAACACATTATCAACTAAAAGAGTCAAACTCTGTAACATATTTGGAGAGATTTATTCTGAACCAAATCTGAGTGACCAATGGCCCATGACACAATCCTCGGGAGATTCTGAGACCACGTGCCCAAGGTGGTTAGGCCACAGCTTTGTTTTATACATTTTAGAGAGCCATAAGGCATCAATCAATACATGTAAGACATACATTGGTTCAGTCCAGAAAGGTGGAGTAACTGGAAGTGGGGGTTTCCAAGTCATAGGTGCATTCAAAGATTTTCTGATTGGTAATCTGTTGAAAGAGTTATCATTAGAAATGAATGCCTGGGTTACAATAAGGAGTTTTGGAGATCAAAGTTTAATATGCAGATGAATACTCCAGTTAGCAATCTCTAAAGAGAATAGATTGTAAATGTTTCTTACCAGACTTAAAGAGTCTGTTCTATCAGTAATTCCAAAAGGGAGGAGGATATAATGAGGCATGTCTGGCTCCCCCTTCCCATTATGTCCTGAACTGACTTTGGAATGTTCTTGTCCAGGGGAGAAGGTCCATTCAGATGGCTGAGGGCTTACCATTTTACTTTTGGTTTACAACATGTATAGGTTTTAAATTTTTTATTAATTTAAGCTATCGTATTTTGAATTTCCTAGAAATATTTTGTATTTCCTATTTATTTTATACAGCCTCTTCCTTTTGTTTCTTGGTTGAAACTTTTTTTTTTACTTTCTCTAAAAATATTACATATTCCTGTTGATGTAAGGTTTTGATTGTCCTCTCCAAAGACTATATGCATTTCCTATTCTTTTCCTTCCCATTCATTTGTTTTGGGTTCTAGCTTTATAATAGAGACCCTCCTCTAATGTCTGGTGATACTTGGATCACTGTTCATATTTAAAAATCACCGAGTGTGTTCTGGAGCGCTCTGGTTCAACAGTTGCTATTGTCAACTGGTAGAACTCAATGGAGGGTGAAGAGGGAAAACTAAAAGATATTTCCCTAGAGGCATTTGATTTCTGAAAGAATAAAAAATAATAATAATAATAATAATAATAAAAACCTTCTCCAAGTTTCCAAAATGGGCTCTGTAAATATGGCTGCCAGAATCCTGGGAGCTCAATAGCAGGGATAGATTTTGAGTAAGATGACGTTCACATTTCAGTGAATAGAAGTGCACTTAAGCACTCCTTCCATTTATGATTATGTTTCTCCCAGATCTTCTGTTGTGCCTCAAGGTCCTTGCATCCAGACCATCTCTGGTTCAGTTTCTCCTGAGCAGAAACGTGGCATACATGGGTTTTGAAGGAACAGTGGAAGTTGGAGTCTGACTATTGTTCATGTATCTTTTAAACATCACATATTCCTGCCTCCAATTTCTGAGCCGGCTAATTCTGGGTGAATCCACTTATTTTTTTCTTACAGCATTACACTTTTTAATTTTTAATTCTCTACTTTCTGTTAAGAAAATTAACAATGATTTACCTGCTATAAATATTTTAAGTATGTGCTGAACTATTCACGTACAAATATCTTTTCTCATTCTTCTAGTACTTAGGTGTATTAATTTTTTTAAAAAAAATGAGTCATCTGCTATCATTTTAGTTGATATTTTGATGGCAAATGCATGCATTTAATAAAATATGTTAAGCCTCCTTTTTTATTCTATCACAATAAAATTCAATTGGACATGCATTAATGCACTGTAGGTTTACATTCTAAGTTAAATAAGAACTCTTTATTTGAGATGAACTCCATGTTGCATCTTATAATTTCTAAATATTGAGTTGCAATCAAACAGAGTCATTTCTGTTTAGAGATTTATAGTTTAGCAGATGCCCCAACTATTATATCTCTCTGGTTTCCACTCTATTAATTAAAAGTCTCATTTCTTCTGTCCTTGGCCATAGACCACTGATCTGAACAATTACTCCAGGCAGAATCTGCTGCTAGCACCAGCTCAGGTGAATAATAAAATAGAAATACACTGCAGTTAATTTTGAAGCCTGTCAATGCCACCATATGAAAATATATATATATAATATTTTAATATTTTACTTGTTGATTGCATACAATAAAGAAAGCACTTTTTTTTCCCTAAAGGCATCTTTGTGCTATACACTAGGCAAAGATATTTATGTTTCTTAAGTGACCATCGCAACAACACTTCAAACGTATTAACATTACAAATGATTTATTCTTGGATCTATTTGATAAAGACATTGAGGCTTAAAAAATATAAGAACTTGATTAAATGCACATGTAGTTGTGTTAATAATAACAATTAAACTATTCTAAGTGTTTAACCTGAGCTGATTACAATAGAATTGTTTCATTTATTAACACATTTTATTTATAAACACATTTTGTTTATTAACACATTTAATCTCCACAAAATTCCTTAGCAGTGGGTAGGATTATACCCACTTAGATAATTTAAAAAAAACTGTAATTAGAGAAATTAAGAAAACAGCAACAAAACTTACTTAACACCATAAAACTTAGGGAGATTTGAGATGAGAAGGATCTATTGCTAAAATATATGTTTCTCCAATATCCATCACACAGCTTGCTCCAAGTATATACCTGTGCACTATATGGACTTTCACAAATATATCAACAAATAAAATTTTGAATTAAAAGAAATGATTAGAAACCTACATGTTTCTTAGGCCACCTGGAATGTTGAATCTGTTCTCTTTTTTGGTAATAAATTCAAGATCAAATTTGAGTCAAGGACACACACTTTTGAAGAAGAAAGCAACTATCTAGGATTTCATCTGGCAGAAGACACTTCAATAGAAGCCCTTTTTTCTCCAACTGTGTTTCACACCTTTTGTCTAAGGTACATTCATTCAGTGTTGACACCATTCACAACTGTGCAAATGAAATTATCAGATTGTCAGGCAAATTGATGCAATTATCTCATGAGTCTTAAGTAATGCACACATTGACATATATTTGCCTTTTGATAACAAGGAATGAGCTGTCAGCTGAAAAGCAGCTCTATCATTGAAATTCTTCTTAGATATTTATTTCATTTCCAGACAAATGACAACTTTGGCAATAAACAGTGATATTCATTCACTTAAGGTGAGTTTTAGGATTAGAGAGCTGAGTTAGCACTGGCAGCTTGGCACATATTAGCATATGAAAACATTCAGCATTACATCTCTTGGGAAAAGTAATTAATCATAGACAAACAAATTGTAAGTCTTATTATGCATAATAGTGAAGAAGTAATATCTTAGCTTCACACAGACTGGGTTTCATTGTGTGATGAAGAGCTAAGAACTGCACAGTGGGAAGCCTTGTAAGACTGTCTGAACATAAAGATCACAGTGTGATGCATTTCTCAGACAGAATAGAGCAAAACAAACCATGAAGGGATAAATAATCATAATTAACAGCCTGAGTAAGATTCTTCTCTATTACTAAAAAATGTGGTCAATTAATGATCATTTATTTTCAATACATGTTTTAAAATAACAACAGTGTAGTCCGGTACAAAGAGAAAGGCAAGGATTGTCAATTTCTGGCATGTAAAATGAGATCAGTTTTATGTATCACATGTCCAGTTCCTGACACTATTCCTCTCCCATGTCTTCTTGCAAATCAGTGGCTGGTATGCGTTTGGAACTTAGGCATTCTCTAAGTCCACCCTTGAAGATGATTCAGCATTGTCACAAAGCACACATTTATTATGTGAACATATTTTCACTGATCCATAAACTTTGCTCAAATGTTGAACACCAGTTTAGAGTCAGATTAATACAAAAATACTATATTTCATAACTGTTTTGGTATGAAGACAGCTATCATCCAGCTTGATTTATTCAGTTTATATTTTGATTTTGAAATGAATTAAAATATTTTCATGCATCCCTAAAAGCACCATGGGCCTTTGGTCCTGTCCCTACTCTGCTTCATGGTTAAATCTGTCCTGTCAAGAGGTCCCATAGGCCAATTAGACCTTTCATCTTTATACACAGTAACAGAACACATAATCAGTTTCAGATTCTCAGCTCATTTTTAAAAAAGTAGATTCTGAACATGGATGTTAGCGTCAATTTCAACTTGTATCCAAGGATCTCCATTGCAATATTTAATGTCTTGCTTATGAAAGTAAGAAAGATAAGGTTTGCTTGGACATCTTCAGTATTGTCAAATAATTCTACGAAGTTAGTAATTTCAAAAGAAGAAAATATTGTATTTTCTTTTACTGGCAACAAAGGATATTTTCTATTCATTAATGGATTTTTCTGGCTAGAAGGTAAAATACAATTTCAAGATTTATTCTAACTTGCATTTATTTTATTTCTATGTATTATTTGGATTTTGATATTTCTTTACTGTATGAAAGAATGTATATGGCTGGGTACAGTGGCTGACATCTGTAATCCCAGCACTTTGGGAGGCTGACGAGGGACGATCACCTGAGGTCAGGAGTTTGACACCAACCTGGCCAACATGGTGAAACACTGTCTCTACTAAAATTACAAAAATTAACCGGACATAGTGACACACACCTGTAGTTCCAGCTACTAGGGAGGCTGAGGCATGAGAATCACTTGAACCCAGGAGACGAAGGTTGCAGTGAGCCGATCTCGAGATAGTGCCACTGCACCCCAGCCTGGGTGACAAAGTGAGACTCTGTCTCAAAAAAAAGAAAGAAAGAAGGAAGGAAGGAAGGAAGGAAGGAAAGAAAGAAAGAAAGAAAATATATTATTAACTTTTAACTTTTACTTGAGTGATTCTCTCAAATTTGTACACATAACAACTCCAATTTCTTTTTGATTACCATCTCAAATATGATGGCTTGTCTCTGTGATATTCAACTTTATGTTCTTCTGAAAAAAATATATTTGGTAGTGTGTTCTACTACTTGCTTTTTAAAAATAAATATATGAATAAATTAGTGACTTCGTCTTGATATGAGCTGAATATTTGGTTAGCAAAAATATATTGGCTAAAACTCTTCGTATCTTTTTTTATCAGGATGAGCAACTCTATAGTCAAATTATGGCAGTATAGCAGAGGTTTATGTTTCTATTTATTTGAAAACCTCTGTAGCCATGTTTTAAAATGATAGGATTCTTTACATGTTTTGAAAATAATGCTTAGCATGCCTTTGAAGGCAGTTCTAACAAATATTCTAAGCTACTAGACTCTTATAGAATAGAAAATGCAGATGTTTGATCTGATTTTGCAAGCCATATATTTTGTAGTATTAGGCATCGATAAGGAAGGAGGAAGACATAGGTCTCCTATATTTCAGGCAGAGGAAAAGAAAAATAAAACAGAGTAATACATAGTTTTGTTAAAGTTTGCATATTGTATCTCTCTTTTATCTGTTGAAATTAGCTTTGAGATAATTTATATACAATACAAATTGCCAAATGTAGAGTTGAATAAGTTTTAACAAATAGCAGTGTAACTACCACCACAGTCATGATAGTAAACATTTCCATCACCCATGAAAAATGCTGAGATTCCAATTTGCAAACGTTTTTGCTAGCATCTTGCCCCAGCAAACATTGATCTGCCTGCTCTCGTGGTTTCATATAAATGGAGGCATGTAGTGCGCAGTCTTTTCTGTCTAGCATCTTTCATTTAGTACAACATATTTAAAATGTATTAATGTTTTAGCGTGTATTAGTAACTCATTCTTTTTATTACTAAGTAATACTCTATTCTGTGAATATATATTATAAACTTTTGGAACATTCACCAATTGATGGGCATGTGAGTTATTTGTGGTTTGGGGCCATTATGAATGAAGTTCCATTAGCATTATTTAACAGGTGTAAGTTACAAACAAAAACACATGTCTTCTTGTGACATACATTTACATTTCTTGGGTAAAGACCTAGGAGTGGGATTGCTGAGTCACATGGAAAGCATATTTTAACTTGATAAAAAATTGCTGAATTTTTTTAATGACTATTATTAACATATTGAATTTTTAGTAGGAAGGTATGAGTGTTTCTGTTGTTCCTCATCCTTGCCAACATTTGACGTTGTCATATTTCTCATTTGTTTATTTAAGCAATTATATAACCATTTTAAGTCTTTATAATAGATGTATATTCAAATGTCATTGCAGTTTCAATATTAATTTTCTAATGACAAAAATGGTGTCAAACATCTTATGTGCTTATTTACCATTGATTTAACTCTCTCAATAAAGTACCTATCATTTTATTTATTGGATTGTCTGTCACGTTGTTATTAACTTGCAAAATGTCTCTATATATTCTGGGTACAGGTCCTTTGTAGAATATATGCTTTTTAAATATTTTCTTTCAGTTTGTGCCTTTCCTTTCCACTTTTACATTTTATTTTATGATTATTATTTGTTTTTTGGAGACATAGAGACAGGATCTAACTATGTTGCCCAGCATGTAGTGTAGTGACTATTCACAGGCACAGTTATAGCTCACTGCAATCCCAAACAACTGGGTTCCCCTGCCTCAGCCTCACGATTGGCTAGGACTACAGGTGTACACAACCATGCCTGGCACCTTTTCATTTTTAACAGTGTGTTTTAAAAAGGAAACTATGGTTTGTATTGTTCTATATTGCTGTTTTGAATTTGATGAAATGTAATTCATCATTTTTAAATGGTTTAGACTTTTGTGTCTTATCTAAGAAATTTTTACTCATTTCAATGTCAGAAAAATTTTCTCCTGTATTTTTTTCTCAAAGAAAATGGCTTTGAGAAGAAAATATATAAAAAATATTTTATATTTATATATTTTCTAAAATAAAATAAGACATATTTTCGTCTCAAAGAAAATAGTTTAATTTCTATATTTAATCTTATATTTATCCTATCCATCCGCATTTATTTATATTTGTGTATCCTATGAGGGAAAGCTCAAGGTTCATTGTCATATGCATATACCATCGTCTCGGCAACTTTTGCTGAAAAGATTTTTTTTACTTCAACAAATTACCCTGTCACATTAGTAAAAAATTAATTGACCATGTATGTCTGTATTCTTAATTCTGCTTCATTATCTTTGAAGCTATCAACATGCCAACACTTCCACTTTTTAAATTATTTTGGGTGTATAGTAAAATTTAAAATTGAATAATGTATGTGCTCCAAGTTAGTTTTTACAGAATTGTTTTGACTAGTCTGGGTTCTTTACATTTTCATATAACTTTTAGAATGATCTTGTCAATTTCTTCTTGAATCTTCTAATCCACAAACATGATATATTTTCATTACCAAAAGCAACAACAACAACAAACCAGTACTTAGCAGTCGTCACCCATTCCTTTCATCCTCCCCAGTCCTAGGCACCCACAAACTTATTTTTCTTTTATATTTGCCTACTCTGGATATTTCATATGAATGGATTCATATACTATTCAGTCTTTGTGCATGGCTTATTTCATTTAACATGTTTACGTGTTTAACATAAATAGGTTCATGGATTAACTTTGAATAGGTTGTACTTTATACCTTTTTATTGTCAAATAATATTCCATTGTATGAATTTACCACATTGTATGTATCCATTGATCAGCTAATGGCAATTTGGGTTGCTTTTGGCTATTATGTATAATATTTACTTGGCCGTTATGAAAATACTTTTATGAATACTCTTTTACAAGTTTTTCTGTGGACACATTTTTCTTTCTTTTAAATATTTACATAGGAGTGGAATTTCTTGGTCATTTGGTAAATATGATAAACCTTTTAAGGAACTGCCAAAATATTTTTCAATGTGAATGCACCATTTTACATTCCAAAAAGCATAGTACGAATGTTTCAGTTTCTCCATATCCTCACCAAAACTTATTATTTGTATCCTGATCATAATCATTCTAATAGGCATGAGGTATTATCACATTGGGGGTTGATTTTTTATATTTTCATATACTTATTGGCCATTGGAAGAAACAGCTATTCAAATCCTTTACCATTGTTGTCTTTTTTAAATTGAGTTATCAGTGTTCCTTATAGATTTGAAGTACACATCTCTTATCAAATATATGATTTGCAGATAACCTTCACCATGTCTGGGTTGTCTTTCCACTTTTTTTGAAGATGTCCTGTGATGTCCAACAGTTTTTTAATTTTAGTGAAACCCAAATTATCGATGTTTTTCTGGGTTGCTTGTGATTTAGATTCTATATATAAGACATCACTGCTTAATCCAAAGCCCTGAGTATCTACTCCAGTGTTTTCAGCCAAGAGATTTATAGGCTTAGTGCTTGCAATATGTCTTTGGTTTAATCTTCGGTATCTTTATCGTCATATATTTCACTTATCTAATGTGTACTAATCAATTTTTCAGTATGTTTTCAGTTTTCAGTATGTTTATATATATGTGCAACAAGCAACAAAGTCATTATTTTCTTCTCAACAAGAAATTCCATACCTTTTAACTATCTCTTCTCTAACAACCCCTCTGCTGCACACACATGCAAGGTCTAGGCAATCCTGAATCTACTCTATCTGTATATTTTTATATTCTGGACTTTCAAATGACTAGAATCATAAAACGTGATCTTTTGTGACTGTGTTAGCTCACTGAGCACAATGTTTCAAGGTTAGTTCAGTCACATGTGTCAGTACTTCATTCTTTTTTGTGGCTAATAACCAATCGTATGTGTATCTATCACATCTTATGAGTTTGTAGTCATTTAGGTTGATTTCTCTTTAGCTATTGTGAATAGGGCTGCGAGAAATAATTATGTAGAAGTATTTGTTTAATAATTATTTTTAATAATATGTACGTATATGTAAACAAATACTTCTACACAACTGTTCATAGCAGCCGTGTTCACAATAGATAAGGTGTAAACAACCCAAATTTCCAGAAACTCACTGTGGTTTTGATTTTCATTTCCCTAATACCTAGTGATGTCAAGCATTTTATCAAGTGTGTGCTAGACATTTATATATCTTCCTTGAATAAATGTCTATTCATATGTTGTATCTATTTTTAATTGGGTTATTTGTCTTTTTATTACTGATTTCTGAGTGTTCTTTATATATTCTAGATACAACCCACTTATCTGACATATGATTTGAAAATATTTCTCCCATTCTGTGGTTTGTCTTTTTACTTTCTTGATGCTGACTTTTTGAAGCACAAAGGTTTTTATTTTTAAATTTGATTAAGTCTAATTTATTTTTCTTTCGTTGTTCATGCTTTTGTGTCATACGTGAGAATTTTTGCCTAATTGAAGGTCATGATTATTTACCCCTGTGTTCTACTCCAAGACGTTCATAGCTGTATCTCTTACATTGAGGTCTTTGATCCATTTGGAGTTAATTGCTGTGTATGGTGTGAGGTATGCAAGTGGCTATCCAGCTGGCCTGGCACCATTTGAAGGGTCTTGCCACCATTTTCGAAAATCAGTTGCTGTAAATGTATAGATTTACTTCTGAACTCTGAGTTATCTTCCATTGATCCACATGTCTATCCTTATGACAATGTCACACTGTCTCAATTCCCTGCTTTGTAAGTACTTCTACATTATTCTTACTCTTAAGATTGTTTAGACTATTTTGTGACCTGTGAAATTTCATGTAAATTTTAGAATTAACTTGCTAATTTCTACAAATAATTTAGGTGGAATTTGTATATAGAGTTCATCGAGTCTATAGATCGATGTAAAGAGTATCATCATCTTAATGATAAGTAATATAAATCATGAACTTTGTACTTGTTTTCATTTATTTAGATCTTTTAAAAATTATTTCAATGGAATTTTATAGGTTTCAGTGTACATATTTTACATTTATTTGTTAAATTATTTCCTAAGTATTTTATTATATTTAGTTTTATTGTAAATCAAATTATTTTCTTAATATTCTTGGATTATTTGTTAAAGGATATAGAAATACAATAGATTTTTGTATATTAAAATTGTATCATGAAGCCATGCTGAACTTGAGTATTGGTTCTAAGAATTTTGTTAATGAATGAATTTGAATTTTTTTATTTATAAGATCATGTCCTTCTTCCTTCCTAATTTGAATGCCTTTATTATTTTTTCTTGCCTAATTTCCCTGACTAGAACCTTCACTAAAATGTTAAATATAAGTAGTGAGAGGGGGCTGGGCATGGTGGCTCACGCCTGTAATCCCAGCACTTTGGGAGGCTGAGGCGAGCAGATCACTTGAGGTCAGGAGTTTGAGACCAGCCTGGCCAATATGGTGAAAACCCGTATCTACTAAAAATATAAAGAATTAGCTGAGCATGGTGGCAGGTTCCTGTAATCCCAGCTACCCGGGAGGCTGAAGCAAGAGAATCGCTTGAACCCGGGAGGCGGAGGTTGAAGTGAGCCGAGATCCCGCCATTGCACTCCAGCCTGGGCAACAAGATCAAAATTCCATCTCAAAAAAAAAAAAAAAAAAAGTAGTGAGAGGGGACATCCGTATATTATTTCTATGTTAGGAGAAAAGCAACTAGTCTTTAATCATTAAGTATAATCTTAGCTGTTTTTGTTTTTGTTTTTTAATAGATGGCCTTTATTGAATTGAGGAGGTTCTATCCTATTTCTCATTTATTGAATGTTTTGTTCATGAAAGTATGCTGGATATTTTCAAATGTTTGTTTGTTTTTCTATGTCTATTAAGATGATTATGTGATTTTTTTTAATTCTATTGATTTTTTCCCTCATGTAGTTTGACACTGTTATTAGGTGCATACAAATTAAGTATCATTATATTTTTTTGGAGAATCAGCCTATTTTTCATCATGTAATGCCCTGATTTATTCCTGATAATTTCCCTTGATTTGAAATTTGTTTTATCTGAAATAAATATAGCTACTTCTTCTTTCTTTTGATTAGTGTTAGTTTGGTATATTTTTAGCCATTTATTTACTCTTAATGTATATATGTATATAAATTATAAATACATATAGCTTTATGTTTAATGTGTGCTTCTGGTAGAAACATATAGATCTGAGTATTGTTTTTTCATCCACTGTGACATTCTCTGTTAATGAGTGCATTGAGACAACTTATATTCAAAGTCATTATTGACATAATTGAGTTAATGTCTACCATATTTGTTACTGTTTCCTATTTGTCGCACTTGTTTATTGTTCTTATTTTTGTGTTCTACTTTTTTCCACTTTTTTGTGGTTTTAATGAAGCATTTTATATGATTCCAGTTTAATTCCTTTCTTAGCATGTCAGTTATACTTCTTTTTTTTAATCTTTTTAGTGGTTGCCCTATAATTTGCAATATGCATTACAAGGAATCCAAGACTACTTTCAAATATGCTATACTAGTTCACTAATGGCATGAATACCCTATAATAACAAAATTTTCTCTTATCTCTTATATTATTGCTTGTAATTCATTTCACTTGTGCATAAACATACAAAATAATATACATTTATATCTAATTGAATGCATAGTTGTTATTACTATTTTGAAAAAAGTTATTGTTAGATCAGTTAGGAATAAGACAAATAAAAAATGTATTTTACCTTTACATATTCATTCTTGATGTTCCTCCTTTTGTTATGTTGATATGAGTTTCTGATCTATATTATCGTCTTTTTCTCTAAAGCACTACATTTAATGTTTCTTGCAAAGTAGGTCTACCGCCATCAAGTTCCCTTAATTCTTGTTTGCCTGAAAAAGTCTATATTTCTCCTTCACTGTCAAGGGTAATGTCACAGAGCATAAAGTTCTACGTTGGTGTTTCGCTTTGTTTTCTCTCAGCATTTTAAATAGCTAATTCTATTCTCTTCTTGCTTTCATGATTTCCGAGGGGAAGTCAGATGTAATTCTCATATTTCTTCCTCTATGGGTAAGGTGTTGTTTTTCTTTGACTTCTCTGAGAATTTTTTTCTACATCATCAATTTTCTGTAGTTTATAAATGATATGCCTAGGTGTAGTGGGCTTTTTTTTTTTTTTTGGCATTTATCAAGTTTGTTGTTCTTTGAATTTCTTGGATCTGTGGTTTGGTGTCTGACACTTCTTCTGTTCCTTTTTCTTTCTTCTTTTTCTGGTTTTCTTATTACAGGCATGTTACACCTTTCTGTATTTGTCCCACACTCCTTGGATGTTGTTGGTTGTTTTTCAGTCCATGTTCCTTTTCCTTTTTAGTTTTGGAGTTTTCTACTGAGATAGCCTCATGCTCAAAGATTTTCCTTCAGCTGTGCCAGTCTACTAATAAGCCAATCAAAGGCGTTCTTCATTTCTGTTACAGTGTTTTTGATCTCAAACATTTCTTTTTGGTTCTTTCTTAGGATTTCTAATTCTCTGGTTATATTGTTCACATGTTCTTGCATGCTGTCTACGTTCCCATTATGGTCCTTAGCATATTGGCCATAGTTAGTTTAAATTCCCAGTCTAATAATTCTAACATCCCTGTCATGTCAGTTCTGATGCTGTTCTGCCTCCTCAAAATTGTGTGTGTGTGTGTGTGTGTGTGTGTGTGTGTGTGTGTGTGTGTGTGTGTGTGTTTCCTTTTGGCATGCCTTGTAAATTTAATGTAACAGTTAAGAGAATCTACTGTAAAGAGGCTTTTAGTAATGCATGAGTAATGTGTGGGCATAGGCAAAGTGTACTACAGTCCTATGAATCGGTCTCAGACTCTTAGTGAGACCATTCTTCTGTGCTGAGAACTTCACAAGTGCTTCTCCATTTTTTTTCTCCCTGCTCAGATGGAGAAGATATCTAGAGTGGACTGCAGTTGGGTATTTTCCTTCTCCGAGGTAAGTTAGGCTCTGATGATACCCTAGCTAGCTAGACCCTTGTTAACTAGTCTCTCCTAAGGTCAAGCCATGTTAAAAAGAATAAAATGCTCTGGCGTATTTCAGAATGGTATCCTTTGCCCTTCCCCTGCTGGAAGCATGGGAGACAGGGAAGGGAGGAGATTTTTCTCTGATATTTGACGTGAGAACCTAGCAGTGCGCCTGAAGGTAAAACTAACAAAAAAAGTCCCCTATTCTTCATGCCTGGGTCCTCTAGAAGTTTTTACCTTACAGATTATTCCACACTGAGCCTTCAGTGTTTCATCAACTCCAATTCAGATTCTCCTACCCCAACACTGATTTCAGGGTGGTTTCTGCTCCTGTAAACAGTGGCTCCCTATGTTTCCCTGCCTGTCTCTCCGTTCTTGGGAGGAGATATTTGTCCTGTGTCTTCACCACTCTTACAGATCCTAGATGACTTGCTGACTTTTCAGTCTGTTCGGCTTTTTGCTTGTTGTTAGGATGGAATGGTGACTTCCGGGTTTCTTATGTGCAGAACCAGAAACAGAAGTCTTCAATTTTTTTTTAATTTAAATTTTGTATCTGTAAAAGATTAATGAGGTATCTTGCACACAGAAAATACTTAACACTGAATGAATGATTGAAGACTATAAGATGAAGGATCAAACCACCTTTCTTAGAGAATGGAGAATTTCGTTGTATATATTGCTTACAATTACAGAGATATCAGAACCTTCTCCTGATGGGGAGCTATTATTTATTTGTTTGAAGTCTGAAATTTACTGATCTCTTAGGATGGAGATGGATGATAAAGTGTGAACATAAAAGGCTACTACTTAGAGTAGTTTGCTTTCCTACCTTAATAAAATTCCCATTAAACACAGGAAAAGTATCAGGCCAACCATGCCTGTTTGGCCATTTCTTAGTTGCTACTCTCATAGTATAGTGGAGTAACTTCATCCAATGACTTGAGTTATATTCTATCATCACTAACTAAACATAATTTTAAAGAGTATACCTCAATTCTTTGGGTCTAAGTTTACATCCCTATAAAATGGAGTAGTTACATTACATAAAGTATGTGCTCACTCTTGAAAACTTGGTCAAGCTATTTAGTAAAATATTTCTTTTCTCAATCATTCACTCTCATTAGATGTACTTCCCAGGGAGAGATATAGTTCTTTTGTAGCTCACCTTAGTGAGAATGTAAAAAGAGAAATGACTCGAAAAGAGGAAATAACACAAATATCAATAATACAAGATGCAATATAATTTTATTGCATTTGCTATGACTTTTCAGAACTAAGTGAAAGCTAGCAGAAAATTCTTTATCTGGTCATTAGTTCAGTGCTCTGTATAATAAAGTACTTCTCAAGCTATAAAACTTGGCTGAATCATTTGATTTGAGGGAACTGAATATGAAGTTATTAACATATATTACTCAATACAAGTTTTCTTTTACATCTGCTTCTATGACTTGCATAATTAAAGATATGAAGATTACATTTAATATTCTATTTGTGCCAACTCATATGTTACTTTTAAAATTTATTTCTTAAGTTGTTCCCAGAGTTATGTCTTAGTATTTTGAGAAGAGTTGATTTTTAGTAGCGCTATAACTACATTTGTAGTATGTAATGGCAATGAGACACGCTGTATTTATATGATCTACTTGTTTTATAATTAGCATTGTGATGATTTATACATTACTCTTTATTAGCAGACAAGACAAATGATTATGATGTTGTTAATTTCAGATATTTTAGTTTTACTGTGAAAGAATAAAGATGCTACCATTTCTAACACCATAGGGATATTGGTGATGCAAGAATACTGATTTTTATTTTTCCCCAACCATTATGGTTATATAAAAGATCATCTGGCCAGGTGCAATGGCCCACGCCTGTAATCCCTGCACTTTGGGAGGCCAAGGTGGGCGGATCACGAGGTCAGGAGTTCTAGACCAGCTTGGCCAACATAGTGAAACCCCATCTTTACTAAAAATACAAAAATTAGCCAGGTGTGGCAGCACGTGCCTGTAGTCCCAGCTACTTGGGAGGTTGAGGAGGGAGAATTGCTTGAACCTGGGAGGCAAAGGTGGCAGTGAGCCAAGACCATGCCATTGCACTCCAGCCTGGGTGACAGAGTGAGACTCTGTCTCAAAAAAAGAAAAAAAAAGAAAAGAAAAAGAAAAAAAAGATCATCTAGTTGAATATTGTGTTTGTGCTAAAAATTCACCATATTAATTATTCATTTATTCATCCAACAAATAATAGGCACTAGCACTATCAAAGTGCTATAAATACAATAGTGGACAAGTTGAAAAAGGTACCAGTTCATATAGAACATGCAGTCCTCTGAAAGAGATGATCAGTAGACAAATAACTTATAAATAAAAACATAAAATGACAGCCATATGTACTTTAAGGAGAATTAGCAAGGTCATGTAGAGTGGCAAATGTGGGGCAAAGGATTGAGCTAGTGAAAACGATCATCCACAGATTATACACAAATCTCTAAAGGCTTTATGTCTTCTAATGATGCAGCTTCTGCACATTTTTCTAGCACACACTTCTGTCTACTAGACATCTCTACCTAGATATACTGCAAAAGCTTCAAATGCATCATGTACAGAATCACATCCATCATCAAATGCCTTAAGTTTCCAACTTTTTTATTTTTTTGAGACTGAATCTCGCTCTGTCACTCAGGCTGGAGTGTAGTGGCGCAATCTTGGCTCACTGCAACCTCCGCCTCTTCGGTTCAAGCGAGCCTCTTGCCTCAGCCTCATGAGTATCTGGGATTACAGGTGCCCACTATGATGCCTGGATAATTTTTTCTATTTTTTTAGAAGAGATATGGTTTCACTATGTTAGCCAGGTTGGTCTCGAACTCCTGACCTCAGGTGATCCACCCGCCTCAGCCTCCCAAAGTGGTGGGATTACAGGCGTGAGCCACCACACCCAGACCCAACTTTTTATCAGTCATTTCTTTCTACTGATTTATGACCAAAACATCTCTTAAGCATATCCTTTGTCTCCAGCTTCACTGTGAATACCTCACTAATGCCTTTACTTTGGGTGTTTTTAGTGAACAAGAGTTTTTATGCCACTACTTTATGAGTTGCACATATATAATGTTCACCACAAGATAGTATTAAATATCGGGTATTTGGGCTCCAGAGTTTGCTTTTTAAATCACTATTCCCTTACACACCATTTTATTTTCCCTAAACTATCTGACATCCCTGGAACATCAATCTATCAAGCATAGCACTACTAGATCAAGGATTCTTCCTCTAATATTTATTCAGAGGTTCGCTGGCACTTATATCAGCAGTACAGAAATCTGGCTGTTAATGGTGATCACCTGGGTACTTGCAAATCACATATACATGTATTCATATGTATCAAACGTGTCATATATCATAGATATATGTTTATGTATGTATATATGAATATGTGTATGTATACAAATATATGTACATGTATATATAGTACTATACATCATAACAATGTTTCAGTTAATGACACCATATACAACGGTGGTCTCATAAAATTATAATGAAGCCAAAAAATTCCTATTGCTTCCTGGTGACAACTTGAATTTGCTGACCGTGTGTAGGCCTAGGCTAAAACGTGTGTTTGCACCTTAGTTTTTAACTAAAATGTTTAAAATGTTAAAAAAATTAAAAACAAAAAAATCATAGAATAATGAGGTAAAGAAAGAATATATTTTTGTGCAGCTGTACAATGTGTTTCTGTTTTAAGATAATTGTTATTACAAAAGAGTAAAAATATTTTTGAAAACTTTAAATGTTTATAAAGAAGTTATAGTGGCTAGGCATGGTGGCTCATGTCTATAATCCCAGCACTTTGGGAGTCACGGCTTGGCGGATCCTTTAAGGTCAGGAGTTGGAGACCAGCCTGGCCAACATGGCAAAACCCCGTCTCTACTAAACATACAAAAATAAGCCAGGCGTGGTGGCTCCTATAATCCCAGCTACTGTAATCTCAGCTGCTCGGGAGGCTGAGGCAAGAGAATCACTTCAACGGGAGTGGAAGTTGTAGTGAGCCAAGGTCATGCCACAGCACTCCAGCCTGGGCGACAGAGCGAGACTCCGTCTCAAAAAAAAGAAGTTATAATAAGGTTATGTTATGTGTTATTAAAGAAAGAAAATGAACAAATTTAGCAGAGCTTAAGTGTGCAGAATCTGTAAGGTCCACAGTAGTGCACAGTAACGTCCTAGGTCATCACATTGATTCACCACCCCCTTACTGATGCACCCAGAGCCACTTACTGTCCTGTAAGCTCTATTCATGGTAAGTGCTCTGTACAGGTGTACCAAATTTATCTTTTATACCATAGTTTGAATGCACCTTTTCTATGTTTAGATATGTTTAAACACACAAATATTTACCATTGTGTTACAATTGCCTACAGTATTCAGCATAGGTTTGTGGCCTAGCATCAATAAGCAATACCATGTAGCCTAGGTGTGTAGTAGGCTGTGCGATCTAGGCGTGTGTAAGTTCTATCACATTTGCATGAGGACAAAATCGTCTAACAACACACTGCTCAGATTATATCTTTGTTGTTAAGCAACACCTGACTATGTCTGGCCCTCATCTTGCATCTGCAGAAACAAGACAAGAGAATGCATATTTTTCACTCAGGTGAAAACTGAATCTTTGGGTATGAGTTAGATGATAAACAGTGAACTAAATACATAAGTAAATATTACAGTATATTAGACTTTCATAAAACCTGACAGTCATAAAGATTTTAGTGAGTTTAGCATTCCAGACAGAAAAGAGCAAGTTGGGACTATACCTGGTGTGTTTGAGAAGCTTCATGGAGTCCAGAAAGGCCATAAAGAGGTCAATGAGGGGAAAATGTCAGGGTTGAGCTGAGATATAAAAGGGAATAGATTCTGGTAGGACTAGTGTGTGGAAAATACAGTCAGTTCACATTATTCGTAGTTGTCAAATTCTATACAGTTGCCATAAATATTGAATTAGTGAATATTGAACTACTGCTCTAAGAGAAGAGACAGAGATGCCTATTATTACTACCTACCTCTCAGCTGGTCATGGGACTTGGAGTGGCCTTATTCACTAACCATTAATAATTAACATTCAAATAAAATGACAGCCATGGTGGAAGGCAGAAGAGCAAGAGAATGCTAGAGTCAGAGAACCAGATGGGGCAGAACACCCATGTATAACAAGTCCACTCTTGTGACACATATAAATGCACAAGCACACATACACATACCTGCATTTCATTATCTCCACTCTGAAACATAACAACTGGAAGAACTGAATCCATCCTGTATAGAAGTGATTTTTTTTTTTTTAGTATTTTGAAATATATTTATCCATGTTTTAGGACTAATTTCAAAGAATTTAATTAAGAAGTGCTTCCTTATTAAATTATTTATTTATTTTGCCCTGGTATAGTCTTTCTGCTAGAGAAGGACGGAGGCTGAAGCACTTTTAAGGCCTGCCTCCTCAGTGACATATCATAGTCTCAGTCCTTATCAACCTCTGAATGTAGCTTCTCTCCAGACACTTATCAGGAGGTATAGTCTCTGATTCTGATAAATATTATGTTGCAGAAGAAATGTTTTAAGGAATTCAACATTTGTTCATTCATCAGTGTATTCCAAACATGTGCATGGGTTAAAGTAGCTGTTCAAAATAACTCATGTTTGAATAATGCTAAATTGCCCTTTATCCATTCATTCATTTGTTCATTCATTCATTTGTTCATTCATTCATTCATTCATTCATTCATTCATTCTTTCAGTCAGTTCTCTAAGTACCTGTACCTGTTATAACTTAATCTTCTTAGTACCTCCTATGTGTCATGAATTAGACTATAGCCTTGAGAAACAGATATAAATAGGATGCTCAAAGTCTATTGAAGTAGACAGATGTGCAAACAAAAATTAGGAAGCCCTACTGAAAGTGCTGATTAGCATATGAACAGCACAAAGATGGGTTGGCTATAACCATTTATTTTACCAATCAGTATGTAGTCCAACATACACCCCTACACCCAGTCAGCCAGTGAAGCAGTGAATCAATGAAGTGAACACATATTTATTGTGCCTCTCTCTGGGGTAGACCATGTGACAGGTGCCAGCAGTGATAAGAATATAGAGAATGCATAGTTCTGCTTCTGAGAAGTTCCACTTTTTTCTACTGACACCAGTACACTTCAAAAGCTATTTATTCAGAAGCCATGCCATAAAAATTAATTATATCTAGAATATATTAAATGAATCCAGTAATTACTTTTCATAGGGTCTAAAGTGCATCTGTAAACATGGAAAGCAATGCTGGCAACATTGGTTCATATAAAGAAGGGTCAAACTTCTAAAAAAAGATCTGTGAATGCTCTGATACTATGCTGACTATTGACCTAAGCCAAATATAATAAATAACAAATGGAGGAAAAAACAGAAATTAGAAAGGACTTCCAAGTCTCTGTTTACTATAAAAATAAACACACTTTACTTCTTTCTACAAATTATCTGAAAGCCAAGAGCAATAGGGGTCACCTTCTTAAGGAAGTCTTCTGCTGTGCACTGAATGTTCGTATCCATCCAAAATTTTGTGTCATAGTTTCCAATGTGTTGGTATTGGAGATGGGGCCTTAGGGAGGTAATTAGGTCATAAGGGTGGAGTCCTCATGATGGGATTAATGCCCTTACAATAAGAGACTCGGCAGGATGATCTCTCAGCCATGTGAAGATACAGCAAAAAGGCATTCATCTGCAAACAAGGAAGAAGGCCTTTGGCAGGAACCAAACTGGCTGGCACCCCTGGATCCTGATCTTCCCAGCCTCTATAACTATGAGACATCACTACTTGATGTTTAAGCCACCCAGTTTATGCTTTTTTTTTTTTTTTTTTTTTTAGACAGAGCATCGCTCTTGTAGCCCAGGCTGGAGTGCAGGCGTGATCTCAGCTCACTGCAACCTACGCCTCCCAGGTTCAAGTGATTCGCCTGCCTCAGCCTCCTGAGTAGCTGCGATTACAGGCACCCACCACCATGCCTGGCTGATTTTTGTATTTTTTGTGGAGACGGGGTTTTGCCATGTTGGCCAGGGTGGTCTCGAATTCCTGACCTCAGGTGACCTGCCCGCCTCAGCCTCACAAAGTGCTGAGATTACAGGCGTGAGCCACTGGACCTGGCTCAGTTTATGCCATTTTTAATAGCAACCCAAGCTGA
Source organism: Homo sapiens (assembly GCF_000001405.40). Lineage (NCBI taxonomy): Eukaryota > Metazoa > Chordata > Mammalia > Primates > Hominidae > Homo > Homo sapiens. The sequence continues at coordinate 63,200,551 of NC_000016.10, read as the reverse complement.
TTGTGCCATCTTCCTTTATTCCCACCAAGAATTCAAAGTTTTCTCTCCGACTGGGCATGGTAGCTCACGCCTGTAATCCCAGCATGTTGCGAGTCTGAGATCACTTGAGGTCAGGAGTTCCAGACCAGCCTGGCCAACATGGTGAAACCCCATCTTTACTAAAAAAATACAAAAAAAAAAAAAAACCCAGGCATGGTGGTGTACACCTATAATCCCAGCTACTTAGGAGGCTGGGGCTGGAGGATCACCTGAATCCAGGAGGCCGAATTTGCAGTGAGCCAAGATCTCTCCACTACACTCCAGCCTGGGCAACAGAGTGAGGCTCTGTCTCAAAAAACAAAAACAAACAAACAAAAAAAGTTTTCTTTCCAAGTCATTGCCGATCATGGAAACCATAGAATTCACCAAATTTGTACTTTTTGACTTTTCAAATAAAAATGATGATTTATTGAAGTATATTTGATATCATACTAGTGCTCCTAGTCAGTTCATAGCCATCTCTAAGTAAGATTTCCCAACCACTGAGAGTACATGGATAATTTCAAGAGGAGAAGATTTTAACAATTGTGACAAAGGAATTCCTATGTTAGTTTCTTATTGCTGTTGTAATAGACTACCACAACCTTAGTGGCTTAAAGCCAAATATATTTATTGTCTTGCATCTCTGTGGTCAGATATGTACATTGGGTCTATAGGGCTGCTATCCTTTTGGAGGGTCCAGAGAAGCCTTTTTCAACTTCTTCACTCAGGGGTGCACTCTCAGCTCACTGCAACCTCCACCTCCTGGGTTCAAGCCATTCTCCAGACTCAGCCTCCCGGGTAGCTGGGATTACAGGCGCCGGCTACCACACCCAGCTAATTTTTGTACTTTTTTAGTAGAGGTGAGGTTTCACCATGTTGGCCAGGCTGGTCTCGAACTCCTGACTTCAAGTGATCCGCCCACCTTCGCCTCCCAAAGTTCTGTGATTACAGGCATGAGCCACCAAGCCATGCCTCTTTCTCAGCTTCTTGAGGCTACCTACATTCCTTGACTCATAATACCTCTCTCCATCTTCAAAGTCAGCTATGTAAAATCTTCTCATCTCTTTGACCTCTACTTGCATCCTTACATCTTTTCTTTCTCACTTCTCCCGCAAAACACTCTCCTAGAATCTTCATTTTGATAGTCATCCCTTGTTATGGGGGGAATTGGTTCCAGGAACAGCCACATATACCAAAATCCTACCAAAATCTACAGGCTCAGGTCTGGCTATCTGCCCTCGGGAAAAGTAGGACTTCCATTTCTATGGGTTGACATCCTGTAAATGTTCTTTTTTTGATCTGCAGTTCGTTGAATCTGTGGAGGCAGAACTCACAGATATGGACAGCCAACTATTTTATTTTATTATTTTATTTTTTAAATGTTTAATTGGTCCAGGTACCGTGACTCACGCCTGTAATTCCAGCACTTTGGGAGGCTAAGGCAGGTGGATAACTTGAGGCCAGGAGTTCGAGACAAGTCTGGGCAACATGGTGAAACCCTGTCTCTACTAAAAGTACAAAAATTAGCTGGGCATGGTGGTGTGTGCCTGTAGTCCCAGCTACTTGGGAGGATGGAGTGGGAGGATCTCTTTAGCCCAGAAGGCAGAGGTTGCAATGAGCCAATATCGCAGCACTACACTCCAACCTGGACAGTGAAAATGAAACTCTGTCTCAAAATGATAATAATAATAATTTGGAAATAAAAATTATGTATATTCAATGTGTACAATGTGATGATTCGATATACATATGGCTTGTGTAATGGTTATCAGAATCAAATTAACACATCAATCACCTTCTTCCATGCTGTGCATTAGATCTCCAGAACTTGATCATCTTATAAGCCAAAGTTTGTACTCTTTGACCAGCACACCCTCATTTACCCTACCCTCTCCCCAACTTCTGGAAAACACCATTCTACTCTGCTTCTATAAATTCCATATTTTCACATTCCACATGTAACTAATATTATACAGTGTTTGTCTTTGTGTATCTAGCTTATTTTATCTAGCATAATGTGTTCCAGGTTCACTCATGCTGTTGTAAATGGCAGGATTTCCTTCTATTCCTTCTATTTTATGGTTTGATAATATTCTTTTATATGCATATAATACAACAGTTTCTTCATCCATTTGCTTATCCATAAGAACTTGGGTTGATTCCATAGCTTGGCTATTGTAAAAGATGCTGCAGTGAGCACGGGAATGCAGATATCTGTTTGAGATCCTGATTTCATTTTTTTTAAGGATATACCCAGAAGGGGAATTTCTGGACCTTGTAGTAGTTCTATTTTTAATTTTGTTGAAAATCTTCCATACTGTTTCTCATAATACTTGTTCCAGTTTACATTTACATTCTCACCAACAGTGTATGAGGGGTCCCTTTCTCCACAACCTTGCAAACATTTATATCTTGTCTTTTTGATAAAATCCTTTCTAACAGGTATAAGGTGGTATCTCATTGTGGTTTTCATTTGCATTTCTCTGAAGGTCAGTGACATTGAGAATCTTTTCATGTAAGTATTGGTCATTTGAATGTCTTCTTTGGAAAAGTGTCTATTCAGGTCCTTTGCCCATTTTTTAATTGGTCATTTATTTATTTATGCTACTTAGTTGTGTGAGCTCGTTACATATTTTGCATATTAATCCCTTATCATATATATGGTTTTCAAGTATTTCCTCCCATTCCATAGATTGTCTTTTCATTTAGTTGATTGTCCTTTGCTGTGCAGAAGCTTTTTCATTCGATGTAGTCTCATGTGTTTATTTTTGTTTTCATTGCCTGTGCTTTTGGTGTCATGTCTGAAAAATCATTGACAAGAAGCTTTTCTCCTGTGTTTTTTTCTAGGAATTTTATGATTTTAGAAGTTATATTTAAGTTTTTAATTCATTGAGAGATAGTTTTTATGTATGATTTAAGAGACTTTCAATTTCATTCTTTTGTATATGAGTATATAGTTTTTCCAATTTTTTTTCTAACTCTGGTTATCCTGCTTCCCTTTTATAAGAACTTTTATTGTTTAAGGACATGGGACCATTTGGATAATCCAGGATAATCTCATTTTAAGATCCATAATTTATAATCATTTATGTAAAGTCTCTTTTTCTATATAATGTAACAAATTTACAGGTTCAGGTATTAGGATATGAATATCTTCAGAGAGTCATTATTCAGCCAACCATACCCAACTAAATTACAGACTCATATATTGAATTTTATCATTTTTTTCTATTTCTGTCTGTATATCAGGATGGATTTATAGACGGTATTTTTATATATAGTGAAATGTGTAAAAAAAATCTTAATATTTCTATCTCCATGGCTTTTTTATTAGAAATAAATTCATATGGCAAGATAAAAAAGACAGAGAAGGGAATACAGTATGATGTAAAGATGAGAGGGATATTTGGTAATTTATGTGGATGTGATGTCACATTTTTTATTTAAGAAAAAATAGGCTGGGCATGGTGGCTCACACCTGTAATCCCAGCACTTTGGGAGCCTGACGCAGGTGGATCACTTGAGGACAGGGGTTGGAGATCAGCCTGGCCAACATGGCAAAACCCTGTCTCTACTACAAATATAAAAATTAGCTGGGTATGGTGGGGTGCACCTGTGGTCCCAGCTACACGGGAGGCTGAGGTGGGTTAATCACTTGAACCCTGAGAGAAGAGCTTGCAGTAGGCCAATATCACACCATTGTACTCCAACCTGGGCAACAGAGCAAGACTCTGTCTCAAACAAACAAAAAAAAAAAAAAGAAAAAGAAAAAGATATATAGCACAGATTGTAGGTTACATCACCATTTTGAGATGGCAAAACACTCCATGTTTCTGAAGAGAAATGTCATGGTGTAGGGGAGAAAAAACGTATTAGGAGATAGAGCAACTTGGATTACAATTCGGGCTCTGTCCTAAATTGCTGTGTCAAATAATCTCTGATGATTTGTCTGTATCTATCAATTTATCTATTTATCTATTTGTCAATCAATTTATCTATTTGTCTGTCTATGTATGGTAGGTAGGTTTATATATGTATGTGCATATATGAGGGACAATAATACCTATTTTATAAGTTAGTCATAAATCCTAGAGAAAATAGGAGGAAATGCCTACAATCATCATTATTTCTAGATAAATAATGTAAGAAATAGCTTTTATTTTATTTTATTTTATTTCGCCATCCATACCAGTTACTTCGTGGGACTGGCCAGTCTATATAGACATAAACAAAAGATATGCAGTGTCTAGCTTGTCTTCAAATACTGACAGATAGTGGAATTAGTCCATTTTTTATAACAGTTGTTCATTTTGAGACTGCTGTAGAGACAGGAGAGGAGGCAGGGATCCCAGCTCAACCCTCTCTGATTACCTGAAACCCTTTCTGTATATGTGGGTATTTCCATTATGTTTGGCAGGGAAGGAAGACATTCTAGTTTGGCAAATCCTCCAGTTCTGGTTTATACTTCCTCTTGTAAAATTTTGCCAAATACTGCTCCATCCCACAGGACTTCTCAGAAACTATCCAAAGGGAAGATGTGATGGGAGAAGAATAATTATTTTACCCATGGAAATAATTTTGCCCACAAATTATTTTAATGTGTCCTTAAAAACATAAAAAGTATCAGACTTGAAATCAAGAAAAGTTGATTCTAGTCCCTTTGCCAGCACTAGGTTGCATATCTGCATAGATTTTCTTTGAAATATTTATCATATTCCCTAGTTTTTTCCTAGAGTTTGGAAATCAGGGAGGCATAAAGCCAAAGGCATCTTTTCTCTTAGAAACTTAAATTCTCCATTTTCAGAGAAATGTGATTTAATAAAAAAAATCAATACCACAACTCCTTTCTGAGGGCTCTGTTTTGGTCCTTTAGTTCTTTGTCTCTGTGGCACGCTGTGATATTATCTGTCTCTCTGCAAGACACCAAATACGAGAGCTGTCTGTATGACGTGTGCTGAAGAGGACTACTTTATTCCTAAACCGGGGCTCTTCTTGGTCTATTCAAGAATGTTTTACTTTCCCCCAGTGACTTTCTGCTACTATTTCTTTGTTTGTTCAGATAAATAGAAAACAGCTGGGGGAAAAAGAGGTCAGTAGAATAACACAACAATTGAAACAGTATAAGTTCAGTGGATAAATAAAAAACTGGTATTTTCTCAATTGAGAAGTCCACATTTAAGTCTCAGTACTTGTACTTGGACCTGGACCTTTGGAATTCATAAACTGGTTTACCCTTTTTTTCTGTTCGTATAGGTTTCCTAAGATGAACAATACTTCCATGGCCGATGGAAATATGCTTATTAAACAATGAACAAATTCATATATAAATATTAGCTACACATGTGTTTGCCAATAGATGGTAAATTTCAGGAAGGGGTCACATGCCTGAAGTTTCCTGGTTTTGCAATAACCATCCTGTGATCTTTTCCCCTTCAATTGCACTGCTGTGTTCTTTGTCTCCTAGTTTTAGTCCTCACACTGCTCATACCCTCAGTGTGGATGTCATCTTTGTTCTGGACATCTGCTCCTCCTTACCTGATGTTCACCTGTTCACCTAGCAACATGACATCTGATATCAGCCCTGGATGGAGCCTTCTGCTTCCTGCTGGTGGGGTCTTAACTTAGTCAACTCTTTCACTTCCGTTCTTTTTGCCTTTCTTTGAATGCCAGTGTATTCTTTTTTTTTTCTTTTTGGTTTATCTGAATATCTAACATTATCTTCATATAACTCTATTTATATCTTGCTTCCTATGGTTAATTTCTGCTGGATGGTCCTTGGAAAGAAGGAGAGCAAAACTTGAATGTCCATGCTGGTGTTTCTATCCCCTAGGATGCTCCCTGCAGCAGGAAAACCAGAGGCACAGGCAGAATGCGTTCTCCTTATTCTTCCCTCTTTCCTGTTCTTTGCTCTTTTCCCTTTTCTTTCACTCTCATGCTTGATCTGTCTTCTCTCTCCCTCCTGCCTCTGTCTCCTGACACTTTCACCTCATTTCTCTCTGTTCTTTGCACACCTTCCCATACCTCCACACCTCTTGTTTCTCTACCACCTTCTTCTTACTGTTTTAAAATTTTGTTATTTCAAGTTCTGCCTGATACAATAGTTACAATATCTAAATTTCTGGATTTTGTAGAGCTGGGCTAATTTAGAATATCCCCGGCTATTTAAATGTACAAAACCTCAACATTTTGTGTCCAGTGTACAGCCCTCTTCTGCTTCTTGAAGTAAGAAGCAGAGCAATTTTTTAAACGATGAAAAGAAAAACCTGTAATCAGACCAATGCAACTGCTGTTCTAGAAAACAAAATTTCATTCTTTATTTTCTTACGTGATTTACCTTTTTTTTTTTTTTTTTGAGATGGAGTCTCGCTCTGTCACCGAGGCTGGAGTGCAGTGGCATGACCTCGGCTCACTGCAAGCACCGCCTCCCAGGTTCACGCCATTCTCCTGCCTCAGCCTCCCGAGTAGTTGGAACTGCAGGCGTCCGCCACCACACCCGGCTAATTTCTTTGTACTTTTTCAGTAGAGACGGGGTTTCACCGTGTTAGCCTAGGATGGTCTTGATCTCCTGACCTCATGATCTGCCCGCCTTGGCCTCCCAAAGTGCTGGGATTACAGGCGTGAGCCATCATGCCCAGCCTACCCTCCCATTTCTAATGACAGCCTATGATGTTGGAATGCAGGACTAGTATATGACTTCCTTTTGTACTCCACTTTGAGCCAATCTACTAGCCACCTAAATATTTGTAAGTATGAATTGAACATGGATATAAAAATAAGCACAAGCCTAAGGGCAAGGTCTTTAAAGAATGAATTATTAAATCAGAAGCAATAGGTAGTAGATTATGTTTCCCTAATCCAAGCTAGCTTTTAAAACAGAGTCAGATACAGAGCCTTTTTAAAACAGCGGGAAGATCTAATAAATTCTGACTTTCATCTCCTTTACTTACATGTCCAACAATTTTTTTGTACTGTGGAATAATTAACATACTGATCTTCGCTAGACACTTATATTTTCTAGATTAGCAATAGCTGGCTATGTTTTATATTCTTTGCATCAGAGCTTCCTAAAACATAGCTCAAGGATTACCTAAAAGAGTGTTCCCTGGGAAGTTAATTAAACATACAAATCACTATACTCTAAATAAAAATCTTGAGGAGAGTGTCTGATTCTTGTATACAAGCATGACAAGCTTTGTCCTACCTTCTACCTCAATGGTTTCTAAAATCTTAAATCATGCAGGGAAAGCAATGGATTGGAAACATATTTTTAATCTGTCTTCTGAAGTCTGTATATGAGTCATTACTCTTCATAGCAAAGTGATGATGGTCTGACTGGCTCAGTTTGCTCTGTTGGAATCAATTTTGGCTTTGGTCTGAGACAAGGTCTAAGTATCATTCACACAGCCGCCAACAATATTTATCATCTGTGCTGGGCGATAGGGAGGGTTGACGCATCAGAATTAAGTCCAATTCCCAGATTTGTCACAATTCTATGTAAATTACTTTAATTTCATGAGTCTCATTTTCCTTAACTATGTAGATAGAATGAACTTATCTCATATATTGGAGAATTCTTACCATAATGCCTGACTCCTTAGAAAAACACAGAAACAATTTATTCCATCAGACAAATGGCTTAATACTGTGCTAAAATTCTAACAATTCTGTATTCTAAATAACTTAGTTCACCTACTTCCCACTCTTGCTCCCTTCAAAAAGAAAAAAAGTTTGTGTCAATCACATGTGTGGAAGATGCCTGGATTAAAATAATGTTCTTACCTAGGCATGACAATGAAAGACTCTTCTCCATTAAATGTTTAGCAAAAAAAAGTATTGTGGGACCAATCAAGTTTGGAAAATTGTTTATTTTATACTATTCTTGGAAATTGATAATGCCCATGTAGCTAGGAAAAAAAATATTATGAGAAATGTACAGTAAGATAAAATTTTATTTAAATGCATATTTTTCTAAATATAGTTGATCACAGAATCTCATTGTTTTTCAATTAATCATATTTCAAAGATGTAGTATTCTGCATAATACACTTTAGTAAATGCTAGTATTTAAATTCCTTGGGGAAAATCTACCCAATCTACTTTCCTCCAGCTACTTCCAGGCCCTTCCTTGAAAGCTAATTAAAACAGTCATTTAAGCTATTTCTGAAAGTCAAATAGTAAAGAAATCACTTCCTTTTCCCCCTCCAGTGTCATGATCTTGGTTCAAATTATAATGATTAAAACCTTAACAGAAAAACATCGACTTTCAAATTGGCTCATCCCAGATGATAATACCTGGTTATCGTTGAAAATCATAACATATATATATATTCCTAAGCCCCTGCAAAAAGTGAAAGCGTCATTTTCAATATATAAGCTGCACTCTTAAGTCTGTGTTAATTGTTGCTTACTTGACACAAAGTTCTAAAGCAGAGGCACCCAGGGAAGAAAGCATTATGAGAACAGTCAGATTAGATTTGTGACAAAAATTAAGCTCAATTCTTTATTGCTTCTTCTTATTCTTAGCTTTGAAATATTTCTTGCACTTGAGTCATTTTGGCTCCTGGTAGCATTGCTGGAGAAAACAAGACATATTTATTAAATAAACAAACAAGAACAAAGCAATAAATCTTGTACTTTTCATACTATATGAAAATAAATTGAGGGTCTATAAAAGTTTGCGTTGTTTGTGTTAGGCTTTTTACAGAAAGTATCTTCAGAATTTTCTTTCCTGAAAACATGTCTTTGCAGAGTGCTATCAAATTCAAATTATCCCCAGAGGACAGGTTACAGGTGATTAAATCAACTCTCTCCAGCAAAGAATACTTTAAAACACTTTTGAGAGCCCTCTAGTTGTGGCATGACCTTTGAGAAAAGCATTTTGCAGTTGACATAGTTTGTGTTTTTGTTAGAGGTTTCTCTTAGGCAGAGATGAATTAACATCTGCCACCATAAAATTTGGGCTTAGATAAACTAAGAGCACTTAGTAATTTGCTTTACTGCTCATCTTGGGAGCTTTTTGAATTGGAGAATTCAATGTCATTGTCTCTTGATTTCATCAATGGGGCTATATGAATGAATGTGCACAGTTTATTTCATTGTCTTCAAGAATGACCCACATTCGGTTTGGAAATTAGAAAGAACAAATCCTTTCCTCAAAATTCAGTGCCTACCTTTATGCTTGTAAAGAATATAGAGATGATGTTGATGTTGTTTCCTATGTCACAGCATGTTCATCTACACGAGAAATGTTGAAATAGCTGGGGGTATATGTGAGTTGACTCTCGTCCCACCTTCCTTTCCTAGTACCAACCATATCTCTTCCAAAAGCACATATTCTCCAGCCAACCCCAGCATTTGCATTCTTGTGAAAGACAGCTCTAAAGTCTAGGGTACGTTTCGGCCTGGCACTATTGTCTCATTTAAAACTTTGCACAAAGCAAATTCTCAGTAAAGGCTTATTAAGTAAAACGTTTTAAGAAAATGGGGACACCATCGAATATGAAGTTGGAATAATCTACTCCATCTTTCCCACTAAATTTCTCTGAAAATTTATCCAGACTTCAATTTTTCTTTTCTGTAAAAGCAGGAAATTTTTATTTAAATTTTGGTAAAATGGATAATAAGCTTCTGTGTCTAATTAAATAAAGAATATTCAAATATACATTTTCTAGAAAATTCATAGATGCTCATTTAGTCATCATATATTTGTCAAGCTTGTTTGATGGGCCAGAAAGATAAATAAGATCACTGTCATTCTAAAGTAGCTCGCTATAGCAATATAATTCTGTAACAACACACTTTATTTTTGAGCATTATGCTTTACTTCCAAGGGTTTCACACACTTTAATGATTTCTTATGGCTGTCACATCTCATGATGCTACATATAATGTTTATATTTATGTACTTTTTTTCTAATTATAAAATAGTCTATGCTGACTCGAAGGAATTAGGCAAATGACAAAAGGTATGAAAAAGAAAATGATATTGTCTATAATCTCATTATTCAGAATAAATGACCTACTGAATTTTGGAAATCATATACTGCTATTGGACTGTCTACGTGTATGCATATATAATTAATGAGTGTGTTTGTATACAAGTGAGTTAATATACTATTACTTTAGGGTCATACTATATATAAAAATGTGTGTTCTGGTTCAGAGATTTTCATGTTATTTTCCTATGGTATCAAATGCCCTTTAATAGCACAATTTTGGGCTGGGCACGGTGGCTTACACCTGTAATCCCAGCACTCTGGGAGGCCGAGGTGGGTGGATCACCTGAGGTCAAGAGTTTGAGACCAGCCTGGCCAACATGGTGAAACCCTGTCTCTACTAAAAATACAGAAATTAGCTGGGCTTGGTGGCAGGTGCCTGTAATCCCAGCTACTTGGGAGGCTGAGGCAGGAGAATCTCTTGAACTTGGGAGGCGGAGGTTGCAGTGAGCCGAGATCCCACCATTGCACACCAGCCTGGGCGACAAGAGAGAAACTCTGTCTCAATTAAAAAAAGAAAATAGCACAATTTTATTGGTTGCAGAATATTTGACCATACAAATGCACCATGCTTTAAGTTCCTTATGTATATACTTCTTTAAGTTTTAGTATATTGTATATACTAAAATTAGCAAATTTGTCTTAAGATGGTCATAAAATTTTTATAAATTAATTTGCTTACTATATATAGTCATTTGGAAGACAAATTTTAAAATGTTATTTGGTTTTTTAAACAAGTATTTTTAAAGTTTTTTTTGTCTCTCTTCTTTTGGTTTTGTTTTTCAATGTAACAATTTCCATCTTTCATGTCTCAGGAACTTATCTCCAAGTCTCTTTTTCTCTTGAAACATTTGGGCAAGAAAAGGTTGATCCAAGCCATGTTGCCAATAGATGGAGCTTAGATTTTTCTTTTTCATTCCCCGTTATTATTTGGGAAGATACTATTAGCATATTAATGTCAGCCATTAGCTAGACAGGCCTTCTATTCATATGCTAAGACCTCAGGATATTTAACATATCTTATAATAGTATATGATCATGGAATGAATCCTTGAAGATGTGGAGGCAAATATACTGCTGGAAAATTAGAAGTAGTCTAAAATTTTTCCCTTGATAGAAGTAACATAAGATAAGATAGAATGAAATAAAATCATGTGATTGTCTGTGAAAAATAGAGCTGGACATTAGTTAAAGCAGTTAAAATAAATTTTATTCAGCAACTATTAACAATAGGGGAAAGAGCTTGCTCCCTATTTGAGCAGAGGCAACTGGGCATTTTAGAGGGAGGATGAAGGGCTATTGAGGGGAGGCAAGTGGGGTCAAGTGAAAAACTTACAAAAGATTGGTGAGGGCTAATGTCATTAGATCAGCTGTGTCTGCTACCTGGTAATCATCAAAGTTAGGATTTCATCCATCCACAGAAACTGAAGGAGGCTCTCTCCTTTCAGATAATTACATTTTTAAAAAAATGGCTTTCAGGTCCTTGAGAAAGACACTCCTGAATTGTAGAAGTTACATATTTTTTCTCAAAGGGAAGAGGATGGGTTCACACGTGTATGCCCTTTTTAGGTAAGTTCTCCAAGTACGGGAAGGTGTTGGCTAGAACAAACAGTAAATTCTCCTGGCAACACTGAGTTTTCTCAAGTATTTTAATGGGGAGCTGTGGTCATCCTAGGAACAAGGCTTTATGCTTCTAAAAGCCACGCTAGAGTTTGATTGTCCCTTAGTGCCGAGGTTTGGATGGAGCCGTTATGTGCTAAGCATTCCCCAGTAATATATAATTTCTTTTGTGCTCTGCTCCCATGCTCTTGTCTTTCTCTGTCCTTCCTCCAATCACTTTAGCACCATCAAATAGAATATATAGCCACCTGTCCACTTACCACCTTCTCATTGCTGTTGTATTGCAGTAAATTTCCATCTCTAATTGGATGAACAAGAGAGACGAGAAGTACAGATGGAGGTGTGGCACAGCAATAGGTCATAAAATGCTTCAGCCAGCTTCAGAAACGAGCTCACTCAAAGTAATGATATGACACCCCTCTTTTTATTCCCTGCCCCTTACCCAGTCAAAAATAGCCCAAATCTGAGGAAGTTTCAGGCATGGAGATGGTGATATATATCCTCCAAAATCTCATATTGTTTTCTTCATTTTTTCCTTTTTTGTTTTCTTCTGCCTAGCTCTGTTCTGTTTTGCACTTAAGTCAGTCAGAATTCATTCTGGAATTCACAAGGAACAGATTAATTATTAACCACCATTCCTACTTCCGTTCATCTGAGCAAAGCGGCATGCTCATAGAAGTGTGTTTCACGCTTCAAAAACCCATTTCTTCTTCCCCAACACATCTTATGAATCTCTATCAAGCTCACATCGAGAATGGTATTTTTAAGATGTCAGTCATCGTCAAGGCCATCTGCAAGACATTTTATTGTAACTCTTATTTCTCTTTTGGTTGTGGAGAAGGATAGAGCTAAAGAGAGACACACTGCCCACTTGTTTTATTGATCTAGTCCCGTTTCAGGTAGCAACATTCAAGAACCTGCTACTTACTCATCCCCCTGATCACTGCCCCCACCATGACCTGGTAACAGTGGAAGTCTGTGACATGACACTATACCAGTTGGGATGACAAAGACGTGCCATTTGCTGGATTCAACCAATTAGGACCCATACAGCCACATCTGTTAAGTTCTCACATTCATTACTCAACAAAGATTACTAACATCAACACAAGTCTTCTGATAACAACAATCAAAGCAACACAGTAATGGTAGCAAAAACTAGGACTGTATATCGATGTTGTCTATGTGCCAGGCATTCTGGTAAATACTTTAAATTTTATTTTATTTGTTCTTCACATCAACATCATATGATGGGGACTGTCATGTTACTTTTTAAAATGAGGAAACTAAGCCCAAAGAGGGAATGTATTGCCCAAACTCAACAGCAGATATGTCATTCAAACCCAGGTCTCTTGAATTCTAAAGTGTAATTTTCCTATATCCCAGGAGTGTGTGTGTGTGTGTGTGTGTGTACTTTTCATTCATTATTCTGTAACTTTCTATTAGTTCTTAATGTGTATCCTATTAAATAGGTGTTATGTCAATAGCTAATACATTTATATTATTACTGTTATGTATGTAATATATATAGTAACAGTATTTTCTCTAAAGAAAAGAATTAATCAAAATATAAAGATAATAAAAAAATTAATCAAAATATATACAGTACTAGATAATATAGTCACTTCTCTTTTCAGACTAAAAGATAATCAATTACATTTTTATTACTGCATAGTTGATCATCATTGAGCTCCTCAAGCACTAGCTGATAGTATTAATTCTCTCTATATTTCCTTTCATTGCTTCAAACCAAGGAGTCTAAAGTCATGGGGCTTCAGAGATAATAAAACAATTCTGTGCCTTAAATTACTCATTATTTCCCTAAGCTTATAGTGGAAATTGTCACATTGCTTCCTGCTAAACATGATTTTTTTTAAAGAAAATCCTCCAGCAGCAATAAACGGCTTGACATTCATATACTAGATTCAGCTCAAATATTAAATAAAGACTTATCTTACATCCTTTCACTAGAAGTTTATCAAGAATAGGCTCATTTGTAGACAATTTTCTGTTCTCTATCCAACTTTATTTCCAAAATAGAGAAGAAGTATTCTGATTTAGTGGTGAAAATGGACTTTACTTAACACATGTATTAGATTTGAAATGGACCCAGTTTACATATAGTATTGAATTCAAGATTAATTAAGCATCTGCATCATTTGGGGAGAAATGATTCAGTGTGCTTTCATGGTTCAAACTTTAACAGTATGTCTAATTTGCCCAGATAAGAGCTCAAATCCAAGGTTTTGTGTAGAAATGATATAAATTGTAATTAAAGTTGATGCAAGTAAAATAGTCAGATAAAAGACTAAAAACAAATGTTTTTTTCTCATTATATATATCTTCTCCATTATATATAAGTGTCTCCTCAAACTTTTCGAAAAATTTTTTTCATGAAAACATTATCAAAATTATTCTGACTTGCATCCTTAGCTGTAGATATAAAATTAATTAATAATAGTCCACTAGAAATAATTTCAACTGCTTTAGAATGTTTCTATTTTTTGAATGAGATATATGGCCTGTGCAGTATGAGCAAAAATAGATAATTTTTTATAATCAATAACACCCCTAATGAGATTCATACCACCTAACTCTCTTTATCTCTCCCAGGCACTTACAAATAAAGCATCCCCAGGGCTATCCAACTCTAGTATCTCAAGAAACCAGGTTAATGGAGAAATATGCTGTTACCACAATTTGGGGGTAATAATTTCTGTGCTCTCAGAGCAATTCCTCTAACCCACATTTCTAAAATATGATCCTTCTCTAACTGTAAACTCCTGGTTCTGGAGCCAATCTCCCAGGATCCAAGGTAGGAATTCTAGTCCTGCAATTCCAACTACTTATTAGACATCACAAATTTTGTGATTTACAGATCTTAAAATATCCATTTAAAAACATCACAATCTTTCCCTTTTTTTATCCCACCATTTCTCTCTCTCTCTCTCTCTCTCTCTCTCTCTCTCTCTCTCTCTCTCTCTCTCTCTCTCTCTCCCTCTCTCCCTTTCTCTTTCTCTTTTTTGTACTTTTTGGCTTTCTTACTGCCTGACTACCTCTCTTGTCCCAATATCTGCTACATTCACAGACTGGAAACCTGAAATGCATCCGTAATTCCTCCCTCTTTATAACCACCCCAGTGACAGGCCTACAACAAAATACCATGCCCTATCCATTCTAAGGATGCCTAAACATCTATGAAAATTCTGCTCAACTTTCATAATCATAGAAATGGCTTCAGAAAATCGTTCTTCCACTTCTGTGAAGCTATTTTCCCTTCTGTTAGGTTATTCCCATAGATCCTAACTGCTTATTCTCCTTCCAGTAATGACAGTTGCAAATGGGTTTATCTTCACACTGTTGTCAAAGTATTCAGCCTAGAATGGAAATGAAAGCATCCTACTGCTCTAATCAATTGAACGTCCTCTCATTCCCTAGGCTCAGTCCTTGCATATACAGTTCAGACGCCTACATTCTCTCTAACAGATCCTAAGTATGGGATCCTGGGACTCTTTGCTTTTAGAGGCATTTGTGTTTATTTAACATGACAATAACTTTCTCCCTGACTAGACTGACACCAGAACTGTTTTCCTTTGGTTTCCCTGTGACAATGCTTTCTAACCCTTATCTCATCTTATCCACCATCTTCTGCGTCAACAGTGGCTTATGAAAACCTTGGATCATAATTTTCTATTTAGCCATAATACTTATAATTTATTTCTCCAAGTATGTGGTTATTATATTGTGCTGACATCTTAGTCTTTCTGGGTTACAAACCTCGATCAGTTATTCAACATTTGCTTTTCTACAGTTCAAACAATTAAGATACACACTCACAAACACATATAAGTTTCTTGAACATAAAATATGTTATACCAAGGAAAATGTTACTTATAAAAATAAATAGGTGAGAAATATTTTTTACTAACTTCTGGAAATTCATATATAGAATAGTATCTCTTTCTCTGTCCCTGTCTCTTTCTTTCTCTCTCTCTCTCTCCTCTTCTCATTTCATTTTTTATCCTTCACTAGCAAGGAGTCTTTACATGCTATCTCTAAGTAAATGACTTTCCATTTTCTTTCCAGTAATCAAATTATAGAGTTCTAATTAGCAATACAGAATATTCTTTTTCAAAATAGTGTTCTTCTCACCTCTCTTAAATATATGTCTCTCATGTCAATAATAATGGCCCATTGGACTCTGAGATTCTTAAAAATTGTTGGTGCAGGAAATTTCCAGTTCCAGTTAAGATGGAATATGCACATCTAGCTCATCTTGCTAACTGATTACTACCAAGAATACTGGAAAAAAAAAAAGTAAAATGTCTACCAGAGGGCTCTGAGCAGTAGGTAAGAGCTGGCACATAGAGTAGGGAAATCGCCACCACCTTCAAATGACCATATAGTGGTAAATTTCCATTTGTGGTTTTTTGTTTTGTTTTGTTTTGCTTTTTGCTGCTGTCCTGATTTGCTGTGTATGTTTTTTTTTGTTTGTTTGTTTGGTTTTTTTTTTTTTTTTTGCTCATTTTTTCTTCAGTAGCTTCTTGATTAGAATACCTTATCTCAGAATTGCTGATGGATATAGATAGAAAGAGTTCTAAGAAGAAAAAAAAAACACACACTTTGTCTAGACAAAAGGATGAGATCTTGGTGTGGGGGGTTAAAGGATGAAGCTTTTTCGATTCTTCTAGCATCGTGCTAGACAAATTCCAGAAACAAACTGGATGCTTATGATGGAAGCAGCAGAGGCAAAAGAGGTGGAGGTGGCAGTGGCAACAGCAGCAGCTTTGCAGACTCTTTTATCTTGCTGTTTTACACCAACATTAACCCGGTCATAGGATGTGTGCAATAGAATGGGTGCCCTAAAACTTCAGGTTTAGTATCTGCAACAGCAGAACAGGGGCCACCGGAAATTCAACAGCATGGAGATTACAGGGTGTGGGAAAAAAGAGACACTTGGAATTTATGTACACATAAGATTTTGGGCTGTACTTTGAACTGATCACATGTGGAACTGATCAGAATTAACAATACAAAGGTTAAGACTACATATAAGTCTGGATCACTTCCAAATCCATAATGAACCTTAGATCTTTCACACACTGAATGTACCAGAATTATGCAGCAAAGCCTTTGAAAATTAAACTTATTAAAACTATGGTTCTGAAAAAAGGTGGTTCAGAATTTGTGGTCTTAATCAAAGTAGTTTCACTTTTTTAAAGAAGAAAGTAGCTGTCTACAAAGCTGTAATAAGATGCAGAGTCTCATAACAACTTTAAAGCATCTGTTATGATTATGTTCCATGAAATAATCATAGTCTTCAAATGAATAAAAATACAGAAAATTTGGAAAACAAATAGAGTCTTTAAAATAAAAATTTTGGAACCAAAAAAACTCAATAAGAGAAATTTTTTAATTACCGAAAGAGCTCAATAATAGGGCAGATGTAACATAAGAAAAGATCACTAGACATGAAAATAGATCAATAGAGATTATAATGTTTGAACATCAGAGAGAAAAAAGATTAAAACAAAATAAAAATAATTTTAGCAATCTCTGTGTGACAGTATCAGAAATGCTAACATTTGTGTCATTAGGGACTAATAGCAAAGATAACAAGACATAGATACTGACAAAATATTTAAATAAACAATGGTTGACTGCCTTACAAATTTAATAAAAGACATAAATTTACAGATCCAAAACACTCAGCCAACTCCAAGCAGAATAAGCAGAAATCAAACCATTCTGGGGCACTATAGTGAAACTCTTGAAAACCAAAGATAAAGGATAAGTCTTAAAAGCAGCCAGAGAAAAACCACACATTGCATAGAGGGAGAAATAATTCAAATACCTGCAGGTTTCTAATCAGAATTGATGGATGTGGCAAGAGAGTGGAATAGTATTTGTTAAAGTGCTGAGAGGAGAAGCTAAAAGTAAACTGAGAATTCTTATCAAGCAAAACTATCTTTCAGGATCAAAAGTGAAACACAATCTCAGATGAAAGAAAATTAGGACAATTTGTCACCCATAAACATGCTTTAAAAAATGCAAATGGAAGAGAAATGGTAATGAATGAAGAACAAAAGAAAAAGAAGGTAAATATCTGAGTAAATGTAGAGAGGGAAAAATAATGGGTACATAGGGTTTTATATATATATTTTTAAATATTTTACTTAAAGTGACTTTGCAAAGCCAGCTTTTGTTTTATTGCATACTGTTTAAAAATTTAAATAGAGAGTACAGAAATATAAATAAATATGGTCAAATAATTTTTGAAAAAGTTGCAAAGGCAATTCAATGGAGAAAGCATAGTCTTTTCAATAAATATTTCTGAAATAATTGGACATCTATATGCCAAAAAATGAGCTTGACTTAAACTTTATATTTTGTATAAACATTAACTCTAAATGGATCATGGAGTTAAATGTAAAGGATAAATCTATTTCAAAAATAAATTTTGAGATGAAAACATTAAAAAAATTGGGGGGACCTTGAATTAGACAAAATGTTATTAAAGAAACCAAAATCATGATTAATGAAAGCTAATTGAACTTCATAAAACCTTAAAAGTTTGTTTTGTGAAAGACATTGTTGAAACATGAACAGATAAGCCACAAACTGAAAAAAAAGGTTCAAGTCACATACCTAACAAAAAACTTGTATTCGGGAAACATAAAGAGAAAACAAATGAGAAAACAAACATGAAAACAAATAACCTCCCAACTTTAACGGGCAAAATATGGAACAGACATTGCACTGCAAAGAATATAGTGGTAGCAAAATATGTGCATGAAAAAATGTTCAACATCAATGAGTCATTAAGGAAATGCAAATTAAAACAAGAATGACACAGAAATACACACCTATTAGAATTGCTAAAATAAATTTAAAAGATAACAATATGACAATACTAAGTGCTGTCAAGGATAGAGAGTAATTGGAACTCTTAAAAATTGATAAAATTGATGGTGAGAATGCAAAATGGTTCAGTCCCTCTGGAAAACCGTCTGGTGTGTGTGTGTGTGTGTATATATATATATTTTTTTTTTTTTTTTTTTTTTTTTGGAGATGGAGTCTCCCTCTGTTGCCCAGGTTGGAGTGCAAGGGCCTATCTTGGCTCACTGCAACATCTGCCTCCTAGTTCAAGCGATTCTCCTGCCTCAGCCTCCCAAGTAGCTGGGACTACAGGTGCATGCCACCACACCTGGCTAATTTTTTTGCATTTTTAGTAGAGACAGGGTTTCACCGTGTTAGCCAGGTTGGTCTCAATCTCCTGACCTCATAACCACGCACCTCGGCCTCCCAAAGTGCCGGGATTACAGGCATGAGCCACTGCGCGACCGGCAGGATTTTCTTATTAAAAAGCATACACTGGGCCAGGCGCAGTGGCTCACGCCTGTAATCCCAGCACTTTGGGAGGCCAAGGTGGGCAGATCACAAGGTCAGAAGTTCAAGACCAGCCTGGCCAATTGTGGTGAAACCCCGTCTCTACTAAAAATACAAAAATTAGCCAGGAGTGGTGGCAGGCGCCTGTAGTCCCAGCTACTAGGGAGGCTGAGACAGGAAAATGGTGTGAACCTGGGAGGCGGAGCTTGCAGTGAGCCGAGATTGTGCCACAGCACTGCAGCCTGGGCGACAGAGTGAGACTCCGTCTCAGAAAAAAAAAAAAAAAGCTTACACTGACCACAGGACTCAGCAACCCACTTCTAGGTGTTTACTCTAGAGAAATGTCCATTCGTATTCAAACAATAATCTGCACATGGATGTTTATGGAAGCATTATCCTGGTCACCAAAACATGGAAAACAAACAACAACAAAAACTGTTGTTCAAAGGGTCCCAACGGCAGCCACAGTGTCCGACTCCACTTGGAGGGTTTCTGTGAGAGACAAGTTGCTTGAAGCTAATTTACCCTCTACATGTAAAGTGTCTTTTCTTGATCCAAACCAGCCTCATTGTTTTCAGCTAACTGTAACCAGATGAGGGGTTACAGGGTGGAAAATTTCCATTTGAACTGAGGTTCCCATGCGTACATCATGGCGCCTCCCAAAGTGAAATGCCTGAGCAGGATGTGGCACCACAACATTACAGAGACAGGAGAAGTATATCTGAGTTTACTGAGAGAACATTCAATTGACTACACTGGCTGGGATCCCACGAGAACATCCCATAAAGGATATTGTTTGGGGATTAAACTCTTTCTTTACTGATCTTGTGAATTTTGATGATCCACTGAATATTGAAGCTGCAGAACATCACTTGCGGGACAACTAGGACTTCCGGAATTAAGTGGAAGACTACATCGTTTACCAGATAATAAAAGGGGAAGATTGCAGGCCCATGGACTGTGTTACAGTTTGTCTCTAACATGAAACAGCAAGAGGCAGCCCCCCCTCTGTGATCCTCATACTCCTTCTCAGTGCCGATGAATCGCCTCAGTCCTGTGACTATGTTGTACTGCAGAAGGCCATCTTCATGATTGCTCATTATCGATGGAGAATTAAACACAAATACAGCAAGAAAATGTGTTTGGGCTTCTTTAAAAAATAATATAAGTAAATAAACCAATTGTGGTATAATGAAATACTACCTAGCATCAAAAGGAACAGACTATCCATAAACACAACACTTGAATCAGTCTCAAATGCATTACACTAAGTGAAAGAAACCTGTTTCAACTGTTACATATTATCTGATTCCAAATATATTACATTCTGGAAAAGATAAAGTTACAGAGATGGAGAATAGATCACTGGTTGCCTGAGTTAGAAGCTGGAGTAGTGTTTGCTGTGGAGCTGCACAAAATAAATTTTGGGGGTTATGGAATTGTTCTGTATGCTGTTCTGTTTCTGGTGATGGTGATAAAATGTATACATATGTTTGAATTTACAGAATCATAAACCAAACAACAGTGATTTTACCATAAGTAAATTTAAAATTATATTTATATTTCAAGAGTGACCATATGTAAATGTGTAGGCATACATACATATATACACAAGTGTGTGTATATATGTGTATATATGTCTATGTGGTATGTATATATATTAATATAGAGAGAATTTTTTGAAGAATTAGTAGTGCAACATTTTGACATCACTTATCCAATCCTTCATTATTTATTAATTTATCTTTCCATGACTTCACTCAGCAATATAGCCTGAGTGCCATCTATATTTATTTATATAGATGAATTAATAAATAATAAAGGGTCCCACCTTCATCACAAATTGAGTTACATTAAAACTTCTATTTCTCGGCCTGGTGCGGTGGCTCATGCCTGTAATCCCAGCACTTTGGGAGGCCGAGACGGGCAGATTATGAGGTCAGGAGATCGAGAACATCCTGGCTAACACGGTGAAACCCCGTCTCTACTAAAAATACAAAAAGTTAGCCTGGCGTGGTGGTGGGCGCCTGTAGTCCCAGCTACTGGGGAGGCTGAGGCAGGAGAATGGCGTGAACCCGGGAGGTGGAGCTTGCAGTGAGCAGAGATGGCGCCACTGCACTCCAGCCTGGGCGACAGAGTGAGACTCCGTCTCAAAAAAAAAAAAAAACTTCTATTTCTCTCCAGTCACCCTTAATCTTCCTTAAGGATGAATGAAGATTTAAAGAATTTCACACATAAATAAAAAGGGATTCTGCTACTCATTGAGCCTATTTTCTATCAATGAATTGAAGGAAAAAAAAACAAACCAATAGGACATTGGTCATTTCTTTTCTCTCTTCTTTCTCTCAGTTTCATTTGGCTGCAATGGCTCCATTCATTCTCAACCTCTCTCTCTCTCTCTCTCTCTCTCTCTCTCTCTCTCTCTCTCTCCCCCCCCCCCTCTCCTTTCACTCTCTCCCTTTCTACTCTCACTGACTCTCTCTCTCTCTCTCTTTCTACTCTCACTCTCTCTCTTTCTATTCTCACCCCCTCTACTGTCTCTTCTTTTTTGGCCATTGAATCCAGAGGCTTCCTGACTTTAAAAAGACCTATGTATTACAATACATGGCACTATAAGCCCTCACCCCTAGGAACAAATATGTTTTACTCTGTATTTTTCTTTAATATTTTCTTGTAATATGTATCAGTAATTTATAAATTCAGTGTGATAAAATAATAAAATTTAGACTTTGGAGAGGGAGAAACATTTTACTAAACTTGTTTATTGGACTATATAGTACTAGATTATGTAGCCAATACCCTTTAAAATGAGTAAGATTTACTCTGCTATTATTCCCTATACATATATTATCATAAAGTATTCTTCAGTGTGCAAGTTTGAATAATTGAGGTGCTAAAGAAACCAAAAAAAATTTTAGGTCCTCTAGATGAATACCATTTGAGTAAATTTTCTTCACATTTATGAATGTTTATATTTCCCCAATATCTAGTGTAGGACAAGACACAAAATATCCCTAGATACAGTTACCTTTGTAACTAAGGACTGAATTTACTTACTAGAAGAGTCATGACATAAAAGAATCTTAAATTCAATACATAGTTTAGTCTCCTCTCACATAGAGTATAAAAGTAGGTAGTCCAAAGACGATATTGGAAATATTAATATACTCATGGAACCAGGATCCTCTAGCTTTTTACTTCAAGCCTGAATTCTATTTCCAATTTGAACTCATAGTCTAATGTGGCTGATCCAAATCTCACCATCATATTTATAGTCCAACCCAGAAGAAAAAGATGAAGAATAAGGGGGTAAGGCCAGTAGTAATTGTCTTTTAAGATAATGTTACAAAAAATCTTCACCCAATCATATTTTGCTTGAATCTCCCTCATTGGAAGCTATTGATGTAGAAACAGGTATCTGAAAATGGAATCTGTATAAAAGTCATTGATTATATTCTGATTGAAAAGAGGAGACCAAATTTTGGGGTGATTTATATTTTCTGCAACATTTGTCATATAGTATGGCTTTCCATGTTTACTCTTTTAAATATCAGGTATTTTTAGAGGAAGTAGGATTGCTATTATTGGCTAATTTTCTGGATATTGTAGATAAAATTATTTGAAACTAAAGATATCCAATGAATACTACTTATTTAGTGTAGAAAGTAAATTTTTTACAAATAAAATATAGACATATTCAATAATAAATTTTTATCTTGTATTCACACATACAAATCTTGCACCGTTTTAATGGAAAGTTATAACAATGATATAATATGATATAATAAAACAACTTCTACCTACACAAAAGTGGTGGAATTATAATGATATTTTTTCTGGTTCTGAGAATAGAATAAATATTATATTTCAAGGAAGATCAGAGATATTCCTCTTCATTTTATATATTTGTCAAGAGGAAATTCTATGCTAGTTTTCAGCCTAACTTTCCAGTTAAAAAGAAGAAAACATGTAGTTGGTGAGCCAGCTCAATTAAGTAGGCTGGAAAGATCAGGTTCAAAAAGTTGATAATGTGGCCGGGTGTGGTGGCCCATGCCTGTAATCCCAGCACTTTGGGAAGCTGAGGCGGGCAGATCACGAGGTCAGGAGTTCGAGACCAGCCTGACCAACATGGTGAAACCCTGTCTTTACTAAATTAGCTGTGCGTGGTGGTGCATGCCTGTAATCCCAGCTACTCGGGAGGCTGAGACAGGAGAATCGCTGAAACCCGGGAGGCAGAGGTTGCAGTGAGCCGAGATTGCACCACTGCACTCTAGCCTGGGCGACAGAGTGAAACTCCATCTAAAAAAAAAAAAATTGATAATATGTTAGAACCACCATTTCGATGGAGAAAGTCCCACATATTCATGCTTAGACATTCCCAGATTATAGTAGATATTCACTCCAGTGTCAGTAAGAAAGTATTTTCCAGGGTAAGTGTTATGTCAAAAATGGCAGTAGTTGAGAAGTGGACCAACATGTTCCTGTCAGATTCTTTGGGGATGTAAACAGTAAATGGTAAATTTTTCACATGACCCAGGACAATCTAACACAATTGACAACTAGCAGTGTTCAGTAAAAATATATTGCCTCATTATTCAGAATTTTCACTTTTTTTTTAAAATTGTCCATCCTCTTTCAATCACTCAGTTTCTTTTAAACCACTAAACAAAATGTGTGTTCATTTATTTCAGTGAAAAAGAGAGGTTCATTTTCAGCTCAGAAGGTCACCTTGGACTGCTACAATACCACCCTATTTTTTTCTCAAAATGTTATGATAAAACACCTTGAAACTTTTTTCAAAAATCATTATGTTGTCAGAATAACGCTTATAGTTATTTGAGATTTAATCCCAAATAACTTACATGTAAGCCAAGTCATCTCTTTGGCATATTACTTGATTGTAACAAAATGCTGAATTGTCCATAAAACAGAAAATAAAAAGGCTATTCTTAAAACTAAGCCTGAATTTATGTACATTGTGTCTGGAATAATTGGCTTAATGCAAAATCTCAAAATATGTCAGTTTTTATTTTCCTGCTGAATTAGGAACTGATTACATAAGAGAACCTTCTTCTCAACCTCTCTAAACCTTGACTTTTCCATTGACAATGATGAAGATTCAATCATTCTTAAATCTATTTCACAAATATTTATTGAGCATCACTTATGTGTCAAGAAGTGTACTAGGCATTATAAATGTTTTCTTCTTAAAGAGAATGAGAAAATTAATAAATAATCTAATAAGCCATGTTAGCCAGGTTTTAGTTTTGACTAGGCTGTGTCTTATCTCTGTTATTTTAAAATATAGGTGTGGCTTTTCTGTTCACCTGTTCTGGTCCTGGAGTAGAAGGGTAAACCGGAAGGATGCATTGGGTTGATCTGAGGCCAACACTTTATTTTTAGAAAAACACTTATTATATCATTAAATTCCCCTCTACTTTTTGGTCCAGTATATTAATTTACAAATTTGTCCCAAGATCAGGAAAATTTCACTAAGGTTTTTATTTCCTAGAGGTCATAATCCTTTCAATAGCCTATATTCATTCAACTATCAAAATGCATATTTATCACAAAGAATCAACACACATGGCATTTAATATATTGTCTCCATAATTTTTAATTTATTGCAGTACGAAGGATTAACCTCCTCCCACACCTTCAGCTACCCTGTCTTATTAGGACCAGATATTTTATACCAACAAGAAAAGTTTACTCCTGAGACTACATTATTTATGCTTCCACTCATTTGCATTGAAAGCAATTATTATCCTCACTGTGAATCTAAACCTTCTGTCATCACCAGGACTCTTCTGATAATCACATCAGTGTACTCTGAAACTATGCAAGGTGGTCTGCTGGTAAATTATGTAGACATCTATTTTTTTCATTTTCTTTAGAGAGTTGATTTATGTTTACTATAAATATAAATCTTTCAAAGATACAACTCTGTTTAGTCCAGAGCTGTATGGAATATTTACTGTCCCTTTAAAACCCTGTTGTCTTTCCTCCAGGCATCAGAACTGAGCTGGCAGGTTAATAACCAGTGCTGACCAGTCAGCATGCAAAGAGTTTGGTCTCTGCCATAAGGTTTGTCAAGTGAGAAGGCCATTCCAATGTAGTGGTGTTCCAGAGAGAGAAAAATCATGTCTCCTCTTGTATGTCAACAGATTGTGTCAAGGAAGACAAAAGTGTTTCTGAAGGCTACTCAGAGACAAAAGCTGTCAAAATGTGAATGTTTCTCTGCTATCTTCATAAAGGCAGGTTATAGTGTTAGACATACTGTGGTTGGAAAAATAGACACCAGGCATTAGAGAAAGACAACACCAAAAGGAAAATAAATACAACAATACAGGTTGGTCATGGTGATCCAAGGGACATCTTGATCTGCTAAAATCCATAATAAGAGCTTCCAAGTGTCAAAACTCAGAATTTGATTTTAGGAGGAAAAAAACATGCCAACAGTCAAGCATGTGTCAGCCCCAGCTCTGAGATCTGCCCAAACAAGGAAGTTACAGAATAGATGGGAAGTGGGACAAATCAATCATTCAACTCATGAGGAGGAGGAGTTGCCATGGGAACTGTTCTTTCAATTCTCTTAAGAGTAAGGACAAGGTCCCTGACATAGAATGGGACTAGGGATATCAGACAGCTTTTTGATTGATTTCCTTCCCAGACTTTATTTCATGAAATCTTTACCCCTGCCATCCTTCATTCATATAGTTCAGTCAGTAGGATGCTGGGGGCTTTTATTAAAAGAGAATTCCAGTCCTACATCCTCAGTCAATTTAACTAGAGTTAGAAACTTAGTACAAGCTGGCCTAGTCATATTGGCTATTTGGTAATTGGACCTGAGTGGGATTATTTTCTCTTTTCAGGAACCTGCATATCCAACGTGTAAAATAGGGACTATGTGTGGGCATACACTATGCAGTATAAAAAAAAGAATCAAAGTAAAGTCAGTTTATCTGGACAGTAAAGAACAAAATAGTCATGCAGGATGCAAGGAGAGGCAGTAGAAAAGGGCTCCTCCTCACTTGGAATCTCTTAGTTTGGTTTGCTTTTTGTCACAAAAGCTTGGATTCCAACTAACATCATGGATTCTTATAATACACTTTACTCCATATTTTAAATCTGTACAATGAGTCTGACCTAATATCCAAGGAAGAGAGATAGTGGAGAAACAGGGTAGCTCTTGTTTCATGACGTTTGTCAATTGGATTTAAGATTGCACTTGCTATATGGCCAAGTAAATAACAAGATATATCTGGCTGCTAAATCCAGGCTGGTGATAAAGGACACTGATTCCAACACATTTTTGCTTGGGCCACCTAATTCTGGACTTCGGACTTAATTAAAAGGTCTGAATATCTAAAAATCATTTGATCATCAGGACCAAGAAATGGAAACTCCCAATAAGGGCACAAGCCAGCAAAACAAAAAGCTAAATGTTTTAGTCTGTATTATTTTGTTATAAAGGAATACCCGAGGCTGGGAAATTTATAAAGAAAATAGGTTTAGTTAGCTCATGGTTCTGCAGGCTATACAAGAAGCATGGCACCAGTATATTCTTCTGGTGAGGGCTTCAGACTGCTTTCACTCATGGTGAAAGGGGAACGGGAGCTGACATGTGCAGAGATCACATGGTACGGGGAGAAAGCAAGAGTGAGAAGCAGGAGGAGGGAGGTTCATAGCTCTTAAACAACCAGCTCTTGAGGGAACTAATAGTATGAGAATTCATTCACCCTTGTCCCAGGGAGGGCATTAAGCTATTCATAATGGATAGTCTCCCATGACCCAAACAGCTGCCATTAGGTCCTGCCTCCAACACTGGTGATCAAATTTCAACATGAAATTTGGAGAGGACAACTGTCCCAACTTTAGCAGCAAGAATGCTTAAAAAACCATCTCTCAAAAGGGAGTACTATGCAATTTGTATGCAGATCTGGAGTCATCTAATTATTCTATATATCAAAGGAGAGATAACTAATATTTGATGAGTTTATATAACTTGTTGCATTCTTATAACTTACCAGATAAAGCTCTAGTTTATTTAACAATCCAACATACACTATCATTCTACTTATTGAGATGAGCAACAAGTTTCATGGTAGTGAGGCATCTTTCCATGATCAGATTTGATACAACTCTGTAACTATACATTCCATATATAAAACCCTTCCTCTACATTTTGCTATTTACCAATAGCTACCATTTATTATCTTCCATATGCTGGCTAATACTTTAGCCAGCTAATAGTTATTTTATCTTCAATATCTAATATTTTGATCATACTGAGGTCAAGTAAGTGTGTGTGCATGTGACAAAGCCAAATTTTAAACTCAGAAATGTTTGGCTCTAATGCAGATCACATTAAACTACTTCGATTTTTAAAAATTAAGCAAAGTTGCATATTTAGCCTTTTCCTAGATGCTAGTGGTAGAAAGTCTTTGATTTTCATGAAGCTTAACATGGATTTAAGAAATCCAGATATTGGAGAACCAACTAATAGGCAATTTCAATACTTATAAACAGGAACTATAGAGTTCACTGTGGAATAATTGTCAGTGCTCTCAGAATGTACTGGAATAAAATATTTCTTAATAAGTTTAGGCTTCTCTACTAGACTTTTCTCATTTACCTTAAAACGAAATGGGGGAATCAAATATTTTAGTAATTTTTGTTGCTAGCTTTATTTAGCAATTATTCAAGAGTAAAGGTTTCGGGCACATGTTAGTTTGCTAGGGCTTCTTTAACAAAGTAACTACAAATTGGCAGATTAAACAACAGAAGTATATGGTTTCACAGCTCTGGAGGCTGGATATCCAAGACTCACTTATCTACAGGGTTGGTTCCCTCTGAGAGCTGTGAAACAGAAAATCTGCCCCATGCCTTTCGCCTAGCTTCTGGGGGTTTGTTGGCACTCTTTGACTTAGATGCATCTCTCCATTCTCTGCCTTTATCTTATGTCATTCTTCCTGTGTGTGTCTCTGTGTTCAAATTTCCTCGTTTTATAAAAACATCAGTCATATTGGATTAGGGAACTGCCTAATGACCTCACCTTAACATGACTAATTAAATCTGCAATGACCCTATTTTCAAATAAGGTCACATTCTGAGGAAGTACGAATTAAGATAGCAACATATGAATTTGGGGGAGGACAAAATTCAATCCACAACAGGGCTTTTTTTTTTTTTTCTAGAGGGGTAGTCTTTTACTTCATCTCTCTATTTGGAACTTGATTTCATATTTGAAGTTGCTTTCGGGTTTACAGATACTAACTATGTAGAAGCCAAATCTCATTAACCCCAGTTCATCCCTTCTCTATCCATTTCTAATCTTCTAGCTGTCTTCTGCTTTATCTCTTCTTCCTTGCCTCCAAGCCTCTGCCATCTTTTTCAATGATGTATATGTAGTGAGATGGTTTTTACTGGTTCATTTATACTAGGGAAAGAGATTTTGCTGACTCTATCACTTGCACCTGTTATGGATGATTAAATTTCTCTTATATTCTGACCAGGCAATAAATCCAGCATTATTTTCAGGCAATTGCAAAATTGTTCCGTTCACGTCTTTTGTCAAAGAAAAAAACCAATCAGTAAATTTTACTGGGAAGAGAGTCTGTCTCATAAATTTCTTTTACAAACATCATAAACAGTCATGCTAGGAAAGAACCAATTTTAATTCATTATTTTTATTCTATGTCACTCTTTGTGAAAAAGATATTTAAAGCTCTGTTCTGGCTGAATTCCACATGTAATATAGAAATGTTTGAGACTGCTGACTCAGCACAGGACCTATTACTGCCTCTATTGTTTCTCTTTCTTTCTTCTTTCTTTCTTTCTTTCTTTTTCTTTCCTTCTTTCTTCTTTCTTTTCTTTCTTTCTTTCTCTCCTTCCTTTCTTCTTTCTTTTAGTACATCATTAAGGGTGAAACATTTTGGTTTTATTTTTTTGCTTTGTTTTTTCCAACAGTTGGAAGACTCAAAGCACTTGCCATATACATGAAAACAAATAGACTCTAGAAACTGATATTGAGCGAGATGTAGTAAATTCATCTCAGTGTCAGGTCAGAGTAAAATCCCATTTACTCTCACAGCCCCCAGCTTCTTGTCTTCCCTTATACCTGACTTCCAGATTTGCCTAACAATTTGTGTTCTGTATAATTCTCTGTGATCTAGAGATAATAGCATTTATTTATCCTTGGATTTCTGATTATATCATTGATTCTAAAGTTATTTCCACTTTTCACTAGTCTTCCATAACTATTCTTCAATTAACCCTTACAGAAATACTATAGTGGTTTAGTGTTCAGGCAAGTGTTGCATAGATCTTTTAAAGAGGAAAATTGGGTGCATTTAGGATTGTAAAAAAATAAAGAGGATTATTCAGAAATAGAAAATTACCTTTACAGGCCGGGCACGGTGGCTCACGCCTGTAATTCCAGCACTTTGGGAGGCTGAGGTGGGCGGATCACGAAATCAGGAGATTGAGACCATCCTGGCTAACATGATGAAACCCTGTCTCTACTAAAAATACAAAACAAAATTAGCCGGGCATGGTGGCGGGCGCCTGTAGTCTCAGCTACTCAGGAGGCCGAGGCAGAATGGCGTGAACCCAGGAGGCGGAGCTTGCAGTGAGCCGAGATCGCGCCACTGTACTCCAGCCTGGGAGACAGAGCAAGACTCCGTCTCAACAACAACAACAACAACAACAACAACAAAATAAAAATAAATAAATAAATAAATAAAGAGGATTATTCAGAAATAGAAAATTACCTTCACAGCCATATATGATCATTAAGAATGCATTAGTTAAGTAGCTCTATTTTTGCCTAAGTGGAGCAAATATATTTCATTTTTATAACTCCATAGCAATTTTAATAAGCATTTTATTTGTTAGGTTTCAGTTTCTAGGAGAGGAACATCCTTAATCATCTCTAGTATATAGCAAATAATGTCTCAGTTTACTTTTGTCATCTGAAAAATAAAAATAATTTACCTGAAATCTCATCTATAATTCTTTAGTAAATGTTCAAAATTGAATCTATGTATATATGAAAGATGCCTTTATGTTGTCATTGTGGAGATTTATTATTATTTGGGTTGGGAAATGGCAGGATAATAGAAGAGAAAATATATTCAGTTTACTAAAAAATAACCCCTGTGACTAATCAGAAACTCAAAAGAAAGTAACCAGTTGTGTATCACCAATCTGTGACCTGGAAGCTCCCTCCCCACTTCCAGTCCTTCTACCTTTGCTTCGAGTTGTCCCACCTTTCCAGATCGAACCAGTGTACTTCTTACATGTATTGATTGACGTCTCATGTCTCCCTAAAATGTATAAAACCAAGCTGTGCCCTGACCACCGTGGGCACATGTCATCAGGACTACCTGAGGCTGTCTCAGGTGCATTCTCAACCTTGACAAAATAAACTTTCAAAAAAAAAACAAAAAACCCCTGTGAATTCTTGAATCTGTTCGAAACTTTTCTAGATAATCGGACTTCCTTTTGTCCTATGTCTTTGAGCCAAAATTTAATTGAGTTTTTGAAAAGTCACCCTAATGCAAACTATGGACTCTGGGTTATAATGATCTGTCAATGCAGGTTCATTGATTGTAACAAACGCGTCATTTTGGTGGGAGATGTTGATAATGGGGACATTGTGTTTGTTGAGTGAGGGGCAAGGATACATGGAAAGTCTCTGTATCTTTCACTCAATTTTTCTGTGAACTTAAAAGTGCTCTACAAAGTAAAGCCTATTAATAAAATGCATAAAGATTAATTAGACATTTTCCACTATTACTCAAAGAAAATATTTAAAATGTCATTGGAAAAATTTGAGCTTTGAATGAAAGAGTTGTAGTAGACAAGTGTATGAATTTATGACCTTTAGTTGATTGATATGATAACATGCATTAACTTTTGAAATGTGTTTTTAACACTGCAGATTACTGAGGAAAATTTAAGAGAAAGCCTTCTTTTTGTAAATAGCAGAAATAATATATTTTGAGGAAATACAAATTTATAAAATGTTGTAGTTTGTTACAGAGAAAAAAAGTAGTGGGTAGGAACCAGAAATTTTTGTTTCCTTATGCTTTTATGTTATATATGAGAAAATCTAGGTTTACAGAAATCAAGCAAAAGTCTTCAGAAAATTGATGGCAGAGCTATGACCAAAGCTGAGATTCCTGAGCCTTAAGCAGTTACTCATCCACGTGGCCTTTTGCACACTGGGTCACTTACTAAAAATAAGTAGTACATTTAGTGGACAAAAATAAATAAGTACATTGTTAAACCAAGAGAGCTACTGAAATTGAAGAGACTCATATAATTTAATGAGATTATCAATTTCAAGTCATTTTATGTGAATGAGGAAACTGAAGGCTATAGCGGTAGTTCAGCCATAGTCACTCAGGAAATAATGACTGATCTAGAAACAAGTTCTTCTTCTTATTGACCTATTTTCCCTCAAAGGAGACAGAATAAATAAAATTAGAAAAAATAAAAAGATACCTTAATCCTTTAAGCCTGCTAGAAAAAAGTATCATAGACTAGATAGCTCATAAACCAGAGAAATGTATTTTTACACAATTCTCATGGTTGGAAAGCCTAAGATGAAGGAGCTGGTGGATTTGGTAGCTGGTGAGATTCCATTTTCTGGTTCATAGATGGCCATCCTTTTGCTGTGTCTTCTTCACACAGCAGAAGGAATGAGGAAGCTCTTTGGAGTCTCTATAAAAGGTGATTCATTCTGTTAATGAGACCTCATGATCTGATCATTTCCCCAAAATCCTCACCTCCTAATACTATCACCTTGGGTTTAGGTTTTAACGTATGATTATGAGGAGGCACGAACATTCAGACCACAGCTTTCTACGCCTTGCTCTCCAAAATTAATATCTTACTTGCATGCAAAATATATTCGTTCCATCCTAATAACCCTCACAGTCTTAACTAGTTCCAGCATCAACTTTAAAGTCTAGTTTCAAAGTCTCATATAAATATAATCTAAATCAGCTGTGTAAGACTCATGGTATAATTCATACTGGCAAATTTCTATTCACCCATAAACTGTGAAATCAAACAAGTGAAGCACTTCCAAAATACAATGGTGAGAAAGGCATACGACAGACATTCCCACTCTAAAAAGAAGAAATAAGAAAGAATAAATGGTTAACATATCCCAAGTAAGTCTGAAACTCACAGGTCAAACAATATTAAATCTTAAGATGTGAGAGTAATCTTTGACTCAGCGTTCCACCTCCTGGAAATACTGGAGCAGGGATGGAGCCCTCAAGATTCTGGAAGGCCACCCTCACTGCTTTACTGAGTGCAGCCCATGCCACAGCTCTCACAGCTTACAGTCATGTGTCTATAGCTCTCCAAGACTGGTGGTTGTATCAGTATAAGTTTGTAGGAACAGTCCTGTTCCCATAGCTCCGTGAGGCATTGTCCTGGTGGGAATTTTCTAGTGGCCCCATCATTGTGGTGCCTCTCTGCTTGAGTTGCATAATAGTAGTTCTGAGTGGCTTTATCCTTTGAAATCTAGGTAGAGGTGACCACATTTCCACAGCTTGTGCATTCTGCGAGCTGGCAGAGATGGTACTGCAAAGACACCACTGAGGTTTACCACCTGTGTCCTCTTCAGAAACAGCCACCATGGCCTGCTGGAGCTGAACCTTAAGCAACCAGAGAATGTTGTGTTAGAGTATGGAGAGCACATCCTTGAGGAGGCACCAGGAAATGAGTACTGAGGTTGTGGGGTCATACACAGCTACTCCTTTGAAACCATTCTGTCCCCAAGGACAAGACATTTTAGGTCTGTGATGGGAAGGGCAGGCCTGATAATTCCTGAAATACTTTTGTGTCATATTTTCACTATTTGGGACAATAGGTTTTGACTGCTGTTTAGCAGGCTGAATAATTTTCTTATCAGATGGTCGCTTAGCTATACCATTGACATTATTTCCTAAACACACTTTCTTATTCTTTTCAATATGAATAGGCAGACAAGTTTCCAAATTTTTAAGTTCTGCTACCCTTATGATTAAAAATTCTGTCATTGAATTCTTTCTGCTCACATTTTATCATAAGCACTCAAGAGAAGCCAAGCTACAACTTCGACACTTAGCTTAGAAATATATTCAGCCAAATATCCTATTTCATAGCTCACAAGTTGTACTTTTCATAAAGCACTAAGTCACAATTCAGTCAAGTTCTCTGCCACTTTATAACAAATATCACTTTTTCTCCAGTTTCCAATAACATGTTCTTCATTTCTCCCTGAGACCTCATCAGAGTGGTCTTACTCTACATATTTCTACCAAACTTCTGTTCACAACCACTTAGGTATTCTCTAAGAAGATTGAGGCTTTCTCTACAGCTATCCTTTTGTCTTGCTGGGCCTCACCAGAATTATTCTTAACAGCCTGTTTATAGAAATACAGAGATTTTCTAGCATGAAACTCCAAACCCTTCAAGTCTTCCACCCATTTTCCAGCTCCAAAGCTGCTTCCACATTTTTAGACTTAATTATTACAGCAGCACCCCTACTTCTCAATACCAATTTTCTGTTTAGTATGTTTTGGTTGCTATATAACAGAATACCATCAAATAAACAACAGAAATGTGTTTCTCACAATTCTGGATGCTGGAGTAGTCCACAATCAAAACAGATCAGGAGATAGGGTATCTAGAAAAGCGCACATTCTGGTTCATAGATCGTGCACTCTAGCAGCATCCTCACATGATGGAAGGGCTGAATCAGCTCCCTTGGGCCTATTTTACAAGGCCACAAATCCCATTAGTGAGAACTCTGCCCTCATTACCTAATCACCTTCCCAAAGTTCCCATCTCCTAATGCTATCACCTTGGGGACTAGATGTAAACATATGAGTTTTGGAGGGACACTAACTTTCAGCCCATAGCAATATCTCTGCATATAAATAAATAAAATTTGATCCACAGAACCCCTTAGGGTCTATAATCTGGTCTCTATGTTTGTTTTGTTTGTGTTCATTTATTTTGTTGTATTTCTTTATTTTTTGTTGCTATTAAGTTGGCTTATGTTTAAGTTATTTTAAATTATTAAGAAAATGAAGATAAAAAGAATAGTAAATTAAAAATTCAGTGTGTTCTATATAATAGGATATATGCAGGGTATTTTCATATACTGTTTTCATCAATTTCATAACAATAATGATTAATTGGTTGCATTAGTTCTAACTTATAAGGTCACTTATTGAAGCTATAACTTATATAGGCTAAATACAGAGCCTGAAATTCCAACAAATACATATCCTGAGAATTGAACAGTGATTTCTGAGTCATTAACTGAGGCTCTTAACTTACATGTTTAAGCATCTGGGAAATATTTATTCAAGTATTTATTCTGTAGACATCCTAATAAATGCATTGCAATTCAAAATAAGTTTTGAAGATTTCTTAGGGTGTTAAATTGTGACAGGCAAACACCGTTAAAATAAGGAAGTCTGTTTCAAATGCAATTTCACAAACAAAAAATTTAGTTCTTAAGAAAAATCTATAAATACTTAAATTTGAAAGATGCCTTGTTACTCATAATGGAATATTGTGTAAGGTTTTACCTGCCCCATAGCTCAAGTTCACATTAGCAGATGTTGTATAAGCTTGTTAAGAACATAATCATCCTAATCATTTCATTTCTCAGTAAGGTTCCAGATGCTTGACTGTAACCATAGTTATATTCTCCAAAGATGTAGCTTATTTCTACAGAAATAGAGATAATAAATTTAAAGAATTGATCATTAATACTAAATTAAGCATAATAACTAAACATTTTGCTCTTTCTTCAAAAATGTATTGTGAATAATTTATTCATTTAGGCTTTTCAAAAAAAATGTTGAGTGTTCCTTTTGCCCCACCTTATGATAAGCAGTAGTGATAGAAGAATAACGCAGGCATGAACACTTTCTTCAGGGAATTTGCAAATTGAGACAAGAGATAGAGAAAGCTATAAAATATCAGAGATGAAAATAATATGTGTAATACATTGATCATAACAATTGCAACATCTTGAAGCATTTTTTAGCTTGTACTACATGTCAGTCAAGCTCTAAGTGTTCTATATGCCTTAACTCATTTTTTCCACATTAGATTACTATGATAAACACTTCATATAAATAATCTTTTTAACCCCCAAAAAACACACCTCTACAATTATTAATTACAATTATCTTTATGGTTTTACATGTGGAACTGAGTAATTTTAAGGAGTTCAATAAAGGAGGTATCTATAAATTCTGGATGGACTTAGAAGAGCAACAATGAATAGGGCTGTACCACTGGATTACGTACAGTAGAGAGCACAAAGTTTTGCCACTTACTTGTATAAAAGGAAAAAAATGCTCAACATTACTAATTATCCAAGAAATACAAATCAAGACCACAATAAGATATCATCTTACATCAGTCAGAATGGCTATTACTAAAAAGTCAAAAAACAACGGATGTTGGCATGAATGCAGAGAAAAGGGAACACTTACACCCTGTTGGTAGGTATGTAAATTAGTACAACCTCTACAGACAACAGTGTTGAAATTTCTCACAGAACTAAAAGTAGAATTAGCATTTGACCCAGAAATTCCAGTACTGGGTATCTATCACCCCAAAAAGAAAGTATTATATTAAAAATCATCTGAACTCATATGTTTATTCAAGTACCATTCACAACAGCAAAGTCATGGAATCATGCTATGTGTCCATCGACAGGTGATTAAATAAAGAAAATGTTGTATATATACAGCATGAAATACTACGCAGCCATAACAAAAGAACAAAATCATGTCCTTTGCAACAACATGGATGGAGCTGAAGGCCATTATCCTAAGTGAAATAACTCAAACAGAAAATCAAATACTATGATTCCACTTATAAGTGGGAGCTAAACAATGGGCACAAAGGACATAAAGATGAAAACAATAGACACTGGGGACTCCAAAATGGGGAAGGTTGGGAGGAGGATGAAGATTTAAAAAAAATTGCCTATTGATTAGAATGGTCACTACTTGGGTGAACGGTGCACTAGAAGCCCAAATCCCACCATTATGCAATATATCCATGTAACAAACCTGCACATGTACCCCTTAAATCAAAAAAAAAATTTTTTAAGAAGGGGAAAAGCAGAGGAGCCAGTTAAAGGAATTTGGAGAGGTAGTTGGATGGATAGAAAAGAGGGTCAGTGAAGAACCACAAAACCCAGAAGGAAATAAGTGAGGGAATATATATCTCGACATCTCTCCTTCTATCTAAGATCTACTGCTGGTGCCTCCGCTGACCTGGAAGTCAGAGGTCAAGAAATAATTATGATATACTCCCAAAAGGGGTTGAGATGGGTTGGAAGTGAATATGGGGCAGCAGTTGATACATGTCCAACAGAGAGGAGAAGAGAACACATTCAGAGGAAGGTAAGGATTTGGGTCTAAAAATGCACCTAAGCTCCAGATATGGAGCTGATGAAAACTCCAATCTCTATCACTTTTATATTACTTAATGGTACTTTCCTACTCATTTTACATGTTTAGCAAAATTGTTTATTCAAAGTTATAAAACATGTGAGTGGAGAAATTTAACTTAAGGGAATATTGGAAAATTATTGTCCGATAGTCAATGGCATGCACACCACTTCCATTTATTTATGAACATATATTGAATGCCTGCTGTGCATATGTGGTATTGCTCTAGACATTAAGTGGGAAAAAAATACAATTTCTTTCTTCAAAGGGCTATAAGTCCAGATGAAAAAGATAAGTAAATCAATAATTACAATACACTATGGCAAATGTATTGCAAAAAGCACAAAAAGAATGACAATATTTTGCAAACATTATGTCACTTAATCATCACTACTTCCTAATAAGGGTGATTTTTTTTTTTATATTTCACAAGTAAGTTAAATGACTCTTAAAGAAGTTAAGTAAGTTATTCATGACCTGCCTTATTAATGTCACAGTCATTCTGACCTCAAAGTCCATGGTCAAATTCCTGTCATAAAAATATCTCCCTTTGGCCGGGCACAGTGGCTCACACCTGTAATCCCAGCACTTCGGGAGGCCAAGGTGGGCAGATCACCCTGAGGTCAGGAGTTCGAGACAAGCCTGGCCAACATGGCAAAATTCCCTCTCTATGAAAAATACAAAAATTAGCTGGGCACGGTGGGACATGCCTGTAATCCCAGCTACTCGCGGGGCTGAGGCAGGAGAATTGCTTGAACGTGGGAGGTGGAGGCTGCAGTGACCTGAGATCATGCCACTGCATTCCAGGATGGGCAACAGAGTGAGACTCTGTCTCAAAATAATAATAATAATAATAATAATAATAATAATAATAATAAACCTCCCTTTGTGTCAGACAACAAAGGTAAATATTTTGCCAATAACCAGAAAGCTGAGATAAACTGTGGTTGGGGATAGAGACAATGTTATAGTTCTTAAACAGGCTATAATGTTTTCCCCATTATGTAATTTATTGTGCTTTAATACTATGATAAGTTACTGACATTTTCTGAAAAACAGGTATGATATCCAATCTAATTCAGGTTTCACTAAAGATATATGCACATATGTTCTGTCCTGCTGAAATAGTTTCATAGCCCACTGCCTATGATCAGTCCTCATATTAGAAGTTATTTATGTCCTGGCACATCATATATTATCCACTATGACCATATGACTATATATAATCCTCAGCTCTTAGCTCTGTACACCCAAATCTTTCATCTACGAACCTCCACTTCCACTAAACAAAATAAAATCATGAATATAACTCTTTATAAAGATAATTTTCTCCCATCAAATATGCGTGAGTACTTCATAGCTGAGTAGTGTAGAAAATGTTAAGCCCACATTATGAAATAGAGTAAATAGAACCTGGAAAATTGTCAGTTTTTAGTGTGTCTCTGTTTACTCAACCATGAGATCATATTAATGTTAATCTTTAAAACCTTCTATAATATAACAATAGAGAGCCGCTATGATGTCGTTACTCTGGTAGAACCTATTTGAGTTAATGCTACTTGAGTTTTGTTATAATTTTACAAATCATAAGTAACTTTACTGCAGGAGAAAAATATTAGACAAGAAAGAAGGAAAGAAGGAAAGAAGAAAAAAGAAAGAAAGAAAAAGAGGGAGGGAGGGAAGGAAGGAAGGAAGGAAAGAAAGAAAGAGAGAAAGAAAGATATCTAGCA
This sequence comes from Homo sapiens, assembly GCF_000001405.40. Lineage (NCBI taxonomy): Eukaryota > Metazoa > Chordata > Mammalia > Primates > Hominidae > Homo > Homo sapiens. Next base: position 63,162,304 of record NC_000016.10, on the reverse strand, counting down.
CCTACTATGTGCCAGAAGATACTATTGTCAGAATTATATATTGGAAATTATTTAGAATAAAAGCAATGCTCCTACCATTTTTTGTTTTTTTCTGCATTACCTAAATAACTAATCCAGTTTCCTTTTCACCTTGCCATATGGATAAGCCCTCAGAAAAGAATAGATTGTCAAAGAGAATAAAATGTTTATATTTTTCCTTGGGATATCCATCTCCATTTAATGTAGAATTTCTTATTCTATTTTCTAGCATAGTTCTTATTTTCATATTTGAGAATTCCATGAGATTATAATATTCTGTCTTCTTTTTTGTACTAGACATTCAGTGTGAGTTTCTTTACCAAATAGCAATGATAGCTTTTAAGACTATTAAAATTTGATGTTATGCCCAGTGTTTTACTAATTGGCTTTTTAAATTGTTATTTTATTTTAAATATGATTTTTATTCTTTATTGAAATCTGAACTCTTTGCTTCTGATTTTAGTCATTAATGATGGGAATAAAAAGACTTGAATAACTGTACAGCATTAGTAATTAATTAGTACCACCTACAGTTTTAACACCAATTTCATATTAAATATATATCTGAACTTGGTGATCTATGTTTCTCTAATTTGTTAATGCTATGGTCTGAATGATTGTGTCCCATTCAAATTTGTATATGAATTCTAATCACGAATATGTTGGTATTAAGAGGTGGGATTTCTGGAAAGTGACTCTTAAAAGGTGCCAATCCCATTCACAAGGGCAACCATCATGAAAGGGATCTGTGCCCTTATAAAAGAGGCATAAGGGAGTTTGTTTGTTCCTTCTGCCAGGTAAGGACCCATTGAAGGTGTCATCTGTAAAGCAGAGAATCGTCACCAGACACTAAATCTGCTGGCAACTTGATCTCTGACTTCCCAGCTCCAGAACTGGGAGCTGGGAAGTCCAAGCTCAAATAATAAATTTTTTGAGGCCTAATTCAAACAATGAATTTCTGTTGTTAATAAATTACCCAGTTTAAGGTATTTTATCATAACAGCCTGCAGGGACTAAGCAAATTACCATTAATGAAAGTTACACAAATAATGCTGGGTGATTGGCTTCTGAGCTCCATGGGATAGTATAATATAGTTGAAAGGATGGGTGAAAAAAAGATAGAAAGCTCTGTAGAAAAGTGTGCTTGAAGAAAAGCCAAAACAAGGAGGAGAAAAACGCATTTGAGAAACATTCATTGCTCAACCACCAATTGTAAATTACCGTTTAGACACTGCAAAATTTGATCAAAATATTAGAATTTAAGTCAAATTCTACATAAATGAATTAATGGCTTTTCTTATCAAAAGTTCCCTTTCCATAGCACTTATGTTTTGGGGAGAGAATGGGAAATATGAGAATTCCCCGAGAAGGGATAAGAAACTAAAATCAGAAATTATATTATTTTAATACGAACAAAATCAAACTCAATATAAAATAACAACAACAAAAACAACTAAAGCTGTATTTATTTATTTATTTATTGTTAGGTTTCTATAACAGCTAATTTTTATTCATTTTCCACGTCACTATACCCACAATTCTACTGAAGATACAAAAATAACTATAACTCAGCCATGCCACTAAATAATGTATTTTTTGCTTGTTTATTTAGAGGTAAATATGTACACAAAAGCCAGGTGAATTAAAGACCTACAACATAATAGGATTAGCGTCAAGTGTTACTGGGTTCAAAGAAGTGAGATCGTTGTAAAACAACATAGGAAAATTCCTAGGGAAATTGCTGTTCTGTGTGCAGTTTCATAACAATTCTAAAACAACAACAGACACATGTTGAGCATTACTTTATGTGGTAGACAGTGTTTCGTGTTCCCATTTGATAGATTAGAATACTGAGTCATAGAGAGGTCAAATAACTGGCTCAAGAAAAATGAGCTTAGAGTTACTTTACTTGGGGCCAAAACAGTGACAAAATTAGTTACAGGTGATGGCTGTAATGTACAGACTGCTTGCATAGCTATTGGCTATCATCTAGAGCAAAGACATCATGCTGGAAATAGTGAGATATAAACTTAAATACATACAGATGAGGACTTTGAACAATAGCCAAAGAACTAAAATTCAATATGGAATTAGTAATTTAGAACAATCAATAGAGACACATGAGTTGGAAGAGTTTGAGTGGTGACTGATTTTCCCTCAGGGAACCCTGCAGTAAGCTGATTTTGTTAAGTATCTAATTTTAAAATGTGGCAATGAGAACTGAGACTAACAGGTAGAACTGTGACTCAACTCAACTGAGTTGAGACTAACAGGTAGACTCAGAAAAATGTGTTAATTGAAAATGTGGATAGAGGAATAAAAGCATATGCAGAATAATGAGCCTGAGACAAGAATGGAAAGAAAAACATTGGCTAAGCATCTATTATGGACTGAGAACTATGATTATTAATTAAATCATAATTTCTTTAATTTATACTTCTCACAAAGGCTCTGTAAAAACTATTAATATTTCTAATCAATAAATTAAAACTAATATGACTCAGAGAATAACCTTCACAAGTTTGCACAGCTGAGATGTGGGAGAGTTTGATTTCCTCAAGACTAGCCCTCTGTTACTCTAACGTTAATTCCTATTCCCCTGGCATCCCTCCTGAGACATTGCAAGATGATATTGGATTAATTAAAATCATAAGAATGTGCCTAAAGTGTCACGAGTAAGGCAACAAAATGAGTTTTCTGATGTACCCTCAACTAAAGAGAAAGTTTATCAGAGCAGAGAATATCCTCAGCATTCTCTGTAATTTACATTTCATCAAATCAGCTTTAATTACAATATAACGTGCTCTCATTGATTGACTAATCTTCACTTTATACTTTCTGCCCTTACTTCATCTTGTTCTTATTTCTGTAATACTATTTGAATAGTTTCCAGATTGGACCTGAAAACATTCTATGTGGGAAGTTCTGGCTAGGACATTCATCTTAACATTTCTTCCCCTTATGGAAATGCAGATTCTGTCTTGTGCAACAAACTAATTAAAGTCCCTTCGCAACGCAATATACAAACGGCGCATAAATATTTAATGGCCTGGTTTAGCATTTTTATTAGATTCTATGATACATCAAACTATACACTGTTTAAGAGCTGAATCTAAATCATACAGTGTTTCTGAAAACCCCATCATACATGATGTATTTCACCAATAAAATTTAAAGAAAACATTTAGGCTATACTGAGAATAAACTATTATACTTTACTTGTTTTATGACTTGAACTTGTGCATTTACCAATAACACATTATGCTTTTATTAGTAGTAAGTTGTAGTGGATGAGCCATACATGATATAAGATTACCCAAGGATTATCCTACATAGTATGGCCAGTCCTGCCCCGTGCCTGTAGTATTCAATATTTTGGACATTACCTCTTCAAAAGCTTCATCTCATATATCTCAACTATCTCTACCTATTGGCCTTCCCATTGCCAATGCTCTCTTAAGATCCAGTTTTTCCTACATCTAATTTTATCTTTTCCAGACTTCAAGTCTTTCAAGTTTGTTTTCATGATTTCCAGATGGCCTCTGCTGGTACACACATCCATGGACCCACAACTTCTCAGCAATGTCTCACAACCACTGTAAGCACCTAAGTTTTGCCATTGCCTTGGGCTTATCATACCACTGACTCTGTACTTTCAGACCAACCTCCAGTTCTATGAGCAGTCTTCAATCTACCCGAGTGTTTGAAACCTGTCCGTTTTCTGTGGTTTATAACAGAATACCTAAAACTGAGTAATTTATAAAGAAAAGGAGTTTATTTCTTATTGTTGTGGAGACTGAAAAGTTCAGAGTCGAGGAATCACAATGCATCAGGGCCTTCTTGCCGGTTGGATGTTCTGCAGTGTTCCGAGGGACACGAGGTATCACACAGAAGGGGGTTGATCATGCTAGCATGCTAGCCTAGATCTCTCTCTTCTTATAAAGTCACCAGTACCTCTCCCATGATAACACATTGATCTACTAACCCGCTAATCCATTAATCCATCAATGAGTGCAGAACCCTTATTATCTAATCTTCTGTTAAAAGCCTCACCTCTGAATACTGCCCAATTAGAGGTTAAATTTCAACATGAGCTTTAGATGGGACAAATATTTATACTATGACATTTCACCCCCACCTGCCCCTGAAACTCAAGTCTTTCTCACATACAAATACATTCATTCTATCCCCATAGCCCCAAAGTCGTAACTCCTTCCAACACCAACTCAAAAGTCCAAATTTCAAGAGCGTAGACATTGGATTTTAAGATGTCAGCATAATCTTCTTTGATTCAATGTTATGAAGTATCCTCTCTACATCGGTGGGGGGGATTGTGCCTCCAGTGCCTCTGACAGCCCCACTCCTGTGGTTTTGCTGGGCTCAGAAACCCCAGCTCTCCCAGTTGTTGATAGCTTTGTGGCGGTCCCGGCTGGGGACTCTGTTGCAGCTTCAAATCCATATTTCTGCTCAGCATTGCTGTAGCAAAGCCTCTCTGTGACAGCTCTACCCTAGTGACAAGTATCTGCCTGGGTCCCTCAGGCTTTTGACAAAATCCCTTGAAATCTGGGTGGAAGCTGTCAGTCCTCCACAGCTCTTGCTTTCTGTAAGCCTGCAAATTAGTATCACATGGAAGTCTTCAAGGCTTACAGCTTGTATCTCTCTAAATGACAAGTCAAGCCACACCTGGGGACACATTTGCCACAGCTGAAGTGGCCCAGGAGCACCGCATTCAAACTCAGGGAGGAGAGACCTGAGGCGTCCTGGGAGCCTGTGGAGGGGGCCCCAGGTCTATCCCCTAAACCCATCTGCCCTCCTAGGCCTCTGGACCTGTGATGGTAGGGGATGCCTTGAAGAGCTCTGAAATGACTTTTTTTTTTCCATTCTCTTGATGATCCCCTTCTTTCCCTACTAATTTCTTTGGCAAAAGATTGCGGGGCTACACCTTTGGTTTGCTCTCTCAAATACACTTTGCTTTTCACATGGTCAGGCTGAAAGTTTTCCAAATCTTTCTGCTCTGCTTCCCTTTTAATTGTAAATTCTGTCTTTTAATTGTTCCTTTGTTTCCAAATCTCATAAGTGGTAAAAAGAAACCATGAAGCTTCTTCTGTATTTTGCTGGGAAATTTCTTCTGTCAAATAACCGCATTCATCACTTTCAGTTTGGCCTTCCACAAAGCCCTCAAACGTAAGTACAGTTCATTCAGCCCACTTCTTCGTGAATTTATAATAAGGAAGACCTTTACCCCAGTTTCTAGCACCTTGTCCTCCAGTTCCATCTGAAACCTTGTCAGAATGACCTTTACTGTTCATATTTATATCAGCATTCTGGTCTGGACCACTAACCACTTGCTAAGGAGTTCCCAACCTTCCCTAGTCTTCTTGTATCCGAAGCCCTCATCAGACTCTAGGTTTTTTTTCTAGCCTGCTCCTCCAGATTCTTCCAGTTTCTGCCCATTACCCAGCTGCTTGCCCTTTTCAGGTATTCAAGAGCAACAACCCAGTGCTCAGTGCCCATTTTCTGATAGTCTGTTTTCTGTTGCTTATCACAGAGTCCCTAGAACTGGGTTATTCATAAAGAAAATAAATGTATTTCTTACAGTTGTAAAGGCTGAGAAGTCCAAGTTGAGAGGCCACATCTGGTGAGAGACTTCTTGCTGGTGAGGATTCCCACAGGGCACAGGGTATCACATGGTGAGGGAGCTGGGCATGCCTATTTGCCAGCTCAAATCTCTCTTCCTCTTCTTATAAAGCCATTGGCTTCCTCTCCAAGGATACTCCATTAATCCCGTCACCCGTTAATCCACTAATCCAAGAATAAATTAATCCAATCATGAGCACCTTCATGATCCAATCCCCTCTTACAGGCTGTAAGTCTTGATGCTGCCACATTGGAGGTTAAATTTCAACATGAGTCTTTTTGTTTGTTAGTTTTGAGACAGTGTCTCACTTTGTCACCCAGGCTGGAGTGCAATGGCACCGTCTTGGCTCACTGCAACTTTTTCCCCCAGGGCTCAAGCGATTTTTCTGCATCAACCTCCTAAGCAGCTGGGACTACATGCACGTACCACCACGCATGGCTATTTCTTGAATTTTTAGTAGAGACAGGGTTTCACCATGTTGATGAAGCTGGTCTCAAACTCCTGACCTCAAGTGATCCTCCAGCTTTGGCCTCCCAAATTGCTGGGATTACAGGCAGGAGCCACCATGCCCAGCCAAAATTTCAACATGAGTTTTAAAGGGAGCAAATATTCAAATCATAGCAAAACCTTTGTCAAGTAGTTTAGATGTGGCCCAGACATAATTTGTATGAAATGTATTAACAGGGAGGTTGAATCAAAATCAGGCACTTTTAAAAATGCTTCATCTTTAATATTCTTGTAGCTCAAATTGTAGTTTTACCTTCAATCCTAATACAACTGTGTTGATAACTGGTTATTAAAATGGTAAATGAATGTAATAGTATGTGCTATTTAAGTAATTATTAATCTCAAGGTTACCTGCATATGTAAAAGTACATGTGACCATTTTGACACTACCCAAGAGCCTAATAGCAAGTGGAGAACAACTGGGAAAAGGTGCTAAGAGTGTGATGACCTTTAGAATACAGTTTTCCAAAAGCGGGAAAAATAAATACCCAGGTCTAACACTAACGTTTCTGATGTTACTGTTCTAATTGCATTTCTGTTACTAGAGTTGGAAACTTGTCAGGTTAGGGGCATGAGAAGAGGCGTTTTCAGATATCTTCAGCATTATACAAGAAGAAATCACCGGTCCTTTGAGTGTATAAATGGTAAAACTTAGACCATGGGTGGGTATCAGGAAGACTGAATTTGTAATGTTATGAGAATACGTTTCTGTGTTGTTATTTTTTGTTTTCTCTATTTTTTATTGTCTATTTATTTCTGCTCTTACCATTTATTTCCTTTCTTCTACTTACTTTAGATTTAATTTGCTCATTTATTTCTAGCTTCGTAAAGTAGAAAATTAGATCATTGATTTTAAACATTTCTCCTTTTTTTACTGTGAGCATTTGAAGGTCTAAATTTCCCTCTAATCACTATTTAGCTACACAAATCATAATGTATCCTAGTTTCATTACCATTCTACCCAAGATATTTCCTAATTTCTCATTATTTCTTCTTTGACCCATGATTTATTTAGAAATGTGCCCTTTGCAAAAATGTTATTATAGATTTCTAGTCAAATTCAATTTTGATCAGACAGCATATTCCTATAATTGTAATATCTCAGTATTTGCTGAGACTTATATAGCCCAACATAAAGACAATTTGCTTATTATTACATTGCATTTTAAAAAATGTACATGCTGTATTGTTTCAGTGAAATACTGAGTAGGTAAACATGGTTGACATTGTTTATCTTTACTGATTTTCTTTTCTCTAATTGTGCTACAGTTTGAATATTTGTGTCTCCTCCAAATTCATTTTGAAACTTAATACCCAGTACAACAATAATAAGAGGCAGGGCCTTTAAAAAGTGATTAGGTCAGAAGGGCTCCCCCATCATGGATGAGATTAGTGCTTTATCAAAGGGCTGGAGAGAACTAGCTAGGGTATTTCGCCCTTCCATCTCTTCCACCATGTGAGCTCACAGCAAGAGGCATCATCTTGGACATGAAGTGCAGTCCTTACCAGGTATGGAAACAGCTAGAATCTTGACCCTGGACTTCCTAGCCACTAGAACTGTGAGAAAATAAATGTCTGTTCTTTATAAATCACCCAGTCTCAGGTAATTTGTTATAACAGCAGACACTAAGATAATTTGTTCCACCAGTTATGGAGAAAGGAATGTTTACATCTCCATGTTTGACTATGGACTTATCTATTGAAACATTTAGTCCTGTTAGCTTTCCCTTCATGTGTTGTTTGGTTATTCTGCATCTACACTTTCATGAGTATTTTGTTTTCCTGGCAAATTTAAGGATGAAATCTTCAATTTCATCATAAAAAAATGTTTCTCATTATCTCAGGTTATGTGCATTTTCTTGAAATCTACTTTCCCTGAATTAATATAGATGTCACGTTTGTGTGTGTCTAATGCTTTTTGTTTGCAATAAGCTATATATATAGCAATGGGATATATATATATATATATATATATATCTCTTCCTTTTTCTTTTACTTTTATTTCAACTTTCTCTTTTTTTTTTTTTTTTTTTTTTTGAGACAGAGTTTCTCTCTTGTTACCCAGGCTGGAGTGTAACGGTGCGATCTCCGGCTCACTGCAACCTCCGCCTCCCAGGCTCAAGTGATTCTCCTGACTCAGCCTCCCAGGTAGCTGGGATTACAGGCACCTGCCATCATGCCCAGCTAATTTTTTGTATTTTTAGTACAGACAAGGTTTCACCATGTTGGCCAGGCTGGTCTTGAACTCCTGACCTTAGGTGATCCACCTGTCTCAGCCTCCCAAAGTGCTGGGATTACAGATGTGAGCCACCGTGCCAGGCCTCTTTTATTTCAACAGGGGATACATGTGCAGATTTGTCACATGGAAATATGGCATGACAGTAGTGAATAGTTTTTTTCAATCCACCCACCCACACCATCTAGTAGTCCACAGTGTCTGTTGTTTCCATATTTATGTCCATGTGTGCTCGGTTCTTAGTTCCTATGTATAAGTGAGAACATGCAGTAGTTGGTTTTCTGTTCCTGCATTAATTTGCTTAGGATAATAGCCTCCAGCTCCTTCCATGTTGCTGCTCTCAAGCTTATATATAAAATGCATATCATCTGGATGGCATCTTGTTTCATAGCTGAGGCTTGATTTCTTTCTTATCCAATCTAAAGATCTCTACTTAAATGGATTATTTATAATATTTGGTTTATTTGTGTGTTTCTCATGTTTTTTTTTCTTTTAATTCCTCTATTGGCTCTTTAATTCTGCTTCGTTTAGTTATTTTTATAGTAGTTCTGGAGATTGCAATATGTATCTTTTATTACTTTTAAAAAATATATTACTTCATATCAAATGTAAGAGCCTTTTTTATTATTATTATTATACTTTAAGTTTTAGGGTACATGTGCACAATGTGCAGGTTAGTTACATATGTACACATGTGACATGCTGGTGCGCTACACCCACTAACTTGTCATCTAGCATTAGGTACATCTCCCAATGCTATCCCTCCCCCCTCCCCCCAACAGTCCCCAGAGTGTGATGTTCCCCTTCCTGTGTCCATCTGTTCCCATTGTTCAATTCCCACCTATGAGTGAGAATATGCAGTGTTTGTTTTTTTGTTCTTGGGATAGTTTACTGAGAATGATGATTTCCAATTTCATCCATGTCCCTACAAAGGACATGAACTCATCATTTTTTATGGCTGCATAGTATTCCATGGTGTATATGTGCCACATTTTCTTAATCCAGCCTATCATTGTTGGACATTTGGGTTGGTTCCAAGTCTTTGCTATTGTGAATAGAGCCACAATAAACATACCTGTGCATGTGTCTTTACAGCAGCATGATTTATAGTCCTTTGGGTATATACCCAGTAATGGGATGGCTGGGTCAAATGGTATTTCTAGTTCTAGATCCCAGAGGAATCGCCACACTGACTTCCACAATGGTTGAGCTAGTTTACAGTCCCACCTACAGTGTAAAAGTGTTCCTATTTCTCCACATCCTCTCCAGCACCTGTTGTTTCCTGACTTTTTAATGATTGCCATTCTAACTGGTGTGAGATGATATCTCATTGTGGTTTTGATTTGCATTTCTCTGATGGCCAGTGACGGTAAGCATTTTTTCATGTGTTTTTTGGCTGCATAAATGTCTTCTTTTGAGAAGTGTCTGTTCATGTCCTTTGCCTACTTTTTGATGGGGTTGTTTGTTTTTTTCTTATAAATTTGTTTGAGTTCATTGTAGATTCTGGATATTAGCCCTTTGTCAGATGAGTAGGTGGTGAAAATTTTCTCCCATTTTGTGGGTTGCCTGTTCACTCTGATGGTAGTTGCTTTTGCTGTGCAGAAGCTTCTTGAGTTTAATTAGATCCCATTTGTCAATTTTGGCTTTTGTTGCCATTGCTTTTGGTGTTTTAAACATGAAGTCCTTGTCCATGCCTATGTCCTGAATGGTAATGCCTAGGTTTTCTTCTAGGGTTTTTATGGTTTTAGGTCTAACGTTTAAGTCTTTAATCCATCTTGAATTGATTTTTGTATAAGGTGTAAGGAAGGGATCCAGTTTCAGCTTTCTACATATGGCTAGCCAGTTTTCCCAGCACCATTTATTAAATAGGGAATCCTTTCCCCATTGCTTGTTTTTCTCAGGTTTGTCAAAGATCAGATAGTTGTAGATATGCGGCGTTATTTCTGAGGGCTCTGTTCTGTTCCATTGATCTATATCTCTGTTTTGGTACCAGTACCGTGCTGTTTTGGTTACTGTAGCCTTGTAGTATAGTTTGAAGTCAGGTAGCGTGATGCCTCCAGCTTTGTTCTTTTGGCTTAGGATTGACTTGGCGATGCGGGCTCTTTTTTGGTTCCATATGAACTTTAAAGTAGTTTTTTCCAATTCTGTGAAGAAAGTCATTGGTAGCTTGATGGGGATGGCATTGAATCTATAAATTACCTTGGGCAGTATGGCCATTTTCACGATATTGATTCTTCCTATCCATGAGCATGGAATGTTCTTCCATTTGTTAGTATCCTCTTTAATTTCATTGAGCAGTGGTTTGTAGTTCTCCTTGAAGAGGTCCTTCACATCCCTTGTAAGGTGGATTCCTAGGTATTTTATTCTCTTTGAAGCAATTGTGAATGGGAGTTCACTCATGATTTGGCTCTCTGTTTGTCTGTTATTGGTGTATAAGAATGCTTGTGATTTTTGTACATTGATTTTGTATCCTGAGACTTTGCTGAAGTTGCTTATCAGCTTAAGGAGATTTTGGGCTGAGACAATGGGGTTTTCTAGATAAACAATCATGTCGTCTACAACAGGGACAATTTGACTTCCTCTTTTCCTAATTGAATACCCTTTATTTCCTTCTCCTGCCTAATTGCCCTGGCCAGAACTTCCAACACTATGTTGAATAGGAGTGGTGAGAGAGGGCATCCCTGTCTTGTGCCCAGTTTTCAAAGGGAATGCTTCCAGTTTTTGCCCATTCAGTATGATATTGGCTGTGGGTTTGTCATAGATAGCTCTAATTATTTTGAGATACGTCCCATCAATACCTAATTTATTGAGAGTTTTTAGCATGAAGGTTGTCGAATTTTGTCAAAGGCCTTCTCTGCATCTATTGAGATAATCATGTGGTTTTTGTCTTTTGTTCTGTTTATATGCTGGATTACATTTATTGATTTGTGTATATTGAACCAGCCTTGCATCCCAGGGATGAAGCCCACTTGATCATGGTGGATAAGCTTTTTGATGTGCTGCTGGATTCAGTTTGCCAGTATTTTATTGAGGATTTTTGCATCAATGTCATCAAGGATATTGGTCTAAAATTCTCTTTTTTGGTTGTGTCTCTGCCCGGCTTTGGTATCAGGATGATGCTGGCCTCATAAAATGAGCTAGGGAGGATTCCCTCTTTTTCTATTGATTGGAATAGTTTCAGAAGGAATGGCACCAGTTCCTCCTTGTACCTCTGGTAGAATTCGGCTGTGAATCCATCTGGTCCTGGACTCTTTTTGGTTGGTAAGCTATTGATTATTGCCACAATTTCAGATCCTGTTATTGGTCTATTCAGAGATTCAACTTCTTCCTGCTTTAGTCTTGGGAGAGTGTATGTGTCCAGGAATTCATCCATTTCTTCTAGATTTTCTAGTTTATTTGCATAGAGGTGTTTGTAGTATTCTCTGATGGTAGTTTGTATTTCTGTGGGATCGGTGGTGATATCCCCTTTATCATTTTTTATTGCGTCCATTTGATTCTTCTTTTTGTCTTTATTAGTCTTGCTAGCAGTCTATCAATTTTGTTGATCCTTTCAAAAAACCGGCTCCTGGATTCATTAATTTTTTGAAGGGTTTTTTGTGTCTCTATTTCCTTCAGTTCTGCTCTGATTTTAGTTATTTCTTGCCTTCTGCTAGCTTTTGAATGTGTTGGCTCTTGCTTTTCTAGTTCTTTTAATTGTGATGTTAGGCTGTCAATTTTGGATCTTTCCTGCTTTCTCTTGTGGGCATTTAGTGCTATAAATTTCCCTCTACACACTGCTTTGAATGTGTCCCAGAGATTCTGGTATGTTGTATCTTTGTTCTCATTGGTTTCAAAGAACATCTTTATTTCTGCCTTCATTTTGTTATGTACCCAGTAGTCATTCAGGAGCAGGTTGTTCAGTTTCCATGTAGTTGAGCGGTTTTGAGTGAGTTTCTTAACCCTGAGTTCTAGTTTGATTGCACTGTGGTCTGAGAGATAGTTTGTTATAATTTCTGTTCTTTTACATTTGCTGAGGAGAGCTTTACTTCCAAGTATGTGGTCAATTTTGGAATAGGTGTGGTGTGGTGCTGAAAAAAATGTATATTCTGTTGATTTGGGGTGGAGAGTTCTGTAGATGTCTATTAGGTCCGCTTGGTGCAGAGCTGAGTTCAATTCCTGGGTATCCTTGTTGACTTTCTGTCTCGTTGATCTGTCTAATGTTGACAGTGGGGTGTTAAAGCCTCCCATTATTAATGTGTGGGAGTCTAAGTCTCTTTGTAGGTCACTCAGGACTTGCTTTATGAATCTGGGTGCTCCTGTATTGGGTGCATATATATTTAGGATAGTTAGCTCTTCTTGTTGAATTGATCCCTTTACCATTATGTAATGGCCTTCTTTGTCTCTTTTGATCTTTGTTGGTTTAAAGTCTGTTTTATCAGAGACTAGGATTGCAACCCCTGCCTTTTTTTGTTTTCCATTTGCTCGGTAGATCTTCCTCCATCCTTTTATTTTGAGCCTATGTGTGTCTCTGCACGTGAGATGGGTTTCCTGAATACAGCACACTGATGGGTCTTGACTCTTTATCCAATTTGCCAGTCTGTGTCTTTTAATTGGAGCATTCAGTCCATTTACATTGAAAGTTAATATTGTTATGTGTGAATTTGAACCTGTCATTATGATGTTAGCTGGTTATTTTGCTTGTTAGCTGATGCAGTTTCTTCCTAGTCTCAATGGTCTTTACATTTTGGCATGATTTTGCAGCAGCTGGTACTGGTTGTTCCTTTCCATGTTTAGTGCTTCCTTCAGGAGCTCTTTTAGGGCAGGCCTGGTGGTGACAAAATCTCTCAGCATTTGCTTGTCTGTAAAGGATTTTATTTCTCCTTCACTTATGAAGCTTAGTTTGGCTGGATATGAAATTCTGGGTTGAAAATTCTTTTCTTTAAGAATGTTGAATATTGGCCCCCACTCTCTTCTGGCTTGTAGAGTTTCTGCCGAGAGATGCTCTGTTAGTCTGATGGGCTTCCCTTTGTGGGTAACCTGACCTTTCTCTCTGGCTGCCCTTAACATTTTTTCCTTCATTTCAACTTTGGTGAATCTGACAATTATGTGTCTTGGAGTTGCTCTTCTCGAGGAGTATCTTTGTGGCGTTCTCTGTATTTCCTGAATCTGAATGTTGGCCTGCCTTGCTAGACTGGGGAAGTTCTCCTGGATAATATCCTGCAGATTGTTTTCCAACTTGGTTCCATTCTCCCCATCACTTTCAGGTACACCAATCAGACATAGATTTGGTCTTTTCACATAGTCCCATATTTCTTGGAGGCTTTGTTCATTTCTTTTTATTCTTTTTTCTCTAAACTTCCCTTCTCACTTCATTTCATTCATTTCATCTTCCATCGCTGATACCCTTTCTTCCAGTTGATCGTATCGGCTCCTGAGGCTTCTGCATTCTTCACATAGTTCTCGAGCCTTGGCTTTCAGCTCCATCAGCTCCTTTAAGCACTTCTCTGTATTGGTTATTCTAGTTATACATTCGTCTAAATTTTTTTCAAAGTTTTTAACTTCTTTGCCTTTGGTTTGAATTTCCTCCTGTAGCTTGTAGTTTGATCGTCTGAAGCCTTCTCTCAACTTGTCAAAGTCATTCTCCATCCAGCTTTGTTCCATTGCTGGTGAGGAACTGCGATCCTTTGGAGGAGGAGAAGTGCTCTGCTTTTTAGAGTTTCCAGTTTTTCTGCTCTGTTTTTTCCCCATCTTTGTGGTTTTATCTACTTTTGCTCTTTGATGATGGTGATGTACAGATGGGTTTTTGGTGTGGATGTCCTTTCTGTTTGTTAGTTTTCCTTCTAACAGACAGGACCCTCAGCTGCAAGTCTGTTGGAGTTTGCTAGAGGTCCACTCCAGACCCTGTTTTCCTGGGCATCAGCAGCAGTGTCTGCAGAACAGTGTTTTTTCATGAACCGTGAATGCTGCTGTCTGATCATTCCTCTGGAAGTTTTGTCTCAGAGGAGTACCCGGCCGTGTGAGGTGTCAGTCTGCCCCTACTGGGGGGTACCTGCCAGTTAGGCTGCTCAGGGGTCAGGGGTCAGGGACCCACTTGAGGAGGCAGTCTGCCCCTTCTCAGATCTCCAGCTGCGTGCTGGGAGAACCACTGCTCTCTTCAAAGCTCAGATGGAAATGCAGAAATCACCCGTCTTCTGCGTCACTCACGCTGGGAGCTGTAGATCCAGGCCAGGGGCAGAGGCTCACGCTTATAATCCTAGGACTTTGGGAGGCCGAGGCAGGAGATTGCTTGACCAGCTAGGAGTTTGAGACCGGCCTGGGCAACACGGCAAAACCCTGTCTCTACAAAAGATCCAAAAAAATTAGCTGGGTGTGGTGGCGCATGCCTGTGGTCCCAGCTACTTGGGGGCTGAGGTAGGAGGATTGCTTGAGCCAAGCAGGTAGAGGCTGCTGTGAGCTGAGATTGTGCCACTGCACTCCAGCCTGGGTGACAAAGTGAGACCCTGTAGCCGAAATATAAATAAATAAAAATAAAATAGAAAATAAATTCATGATTTATTTTGGATTAACTTTTGTATAATGTGTAAGGTTTTAAAGTTTAGATTTTGTCCATTGATGTCCAATTGTTCCTACACTATTTATTAATTCATTAAAAATATATTATTTCTAAAATTTATCTTTGTCTTGCTTTTCATCATTTTGGCTATAATATGTCTAAATGTATTCTTCTTGTATTTATCCTGTTTAGTGTTTCCTGTGCTCTTTTGATTTTTAAGTTTATGGGGTTCTTTTTTACCAAATTTGAGAAATGTAGTGCCTTTATTTCTTCTAATCTTTTGTCTGCTTTATTGTCTTTTTCCCTCTAGCACAGGCATAATTCAGGTGCTATGCAAGGATTTGAGTGGTATTTATCTTCATATTTTTGACTCCCACATCTGTGGATTCAGACTTAATAAAGTTTTTAAAGATGAAGTTATTGTTTAGTTGTTAAATTATTATTTAATAATATAGTTATTCGCACTAATTTTCCAGTTTCTCTGGCAACTCCAAACTTTATCTCTAAGTCTGAAATCCAGGAATGCTGTGATTTTTCTGCTTGAGTTCAAGGCATCCAGAACAATTTGGACTACACTCAGGCAAGAAGCATGTAAGTGGAATTATCAGACAGTGCATTTTCTTGTTTTCAAAGTTTGACAAACCTCCAATCTTTTCCTTCTTTTTTCCATTATCTGGTGTCTTAAGTGTGTGTGTGTGTGTGTGTGTGTGTGTGTGTGTATCTGCAAGATGAATAGTTTGCTACAGACTATTCTGACATTATTTGAAAAAGAATTCTAAGGATTTGGGGATCTAATGTAAGAAAGATGGGTTTGGAGAGTTTTAAGAAAGAGTGTGATATGACTGAATTAATGTGAGGAGAATATTTGGTTGGGTGGAAGATTGGACAGGAAGGGTCAATTGGAGAAAGCCAGAGAAGAGATTGTGATGACTTGCATATTTCCTAGAATAGTGGACATGGAAAAGAATTTTGGTTATATTCTTTACTCCTGGACTTTGGGCATGGCGTTTTATCAACTGACTGTAAAATGAGGCAGTGATACCTAAAAAGCCACTAGTTTGTTTCAGAGATTAAATAAACCTTGTACCACCTTAGCCATTTCCTGGAACACAATAATGCTCTACAGTATTTTATTATTTGTTATGAGTGTATTACATTCCAAATACTGAACTTTGCATGCATAACTACCCATGTATTCTTGGGTTTATACATAGAGATACAAACTAATCAAAGTATCAAGTAATACATAAAAATTCTAATGAAATAATGGATATTTAGTGATATGATTACATAAGAGCATATAATAAGGTGACAATCTAGTAGTGGGAACAATATATAAAATATAAAATTAACTCTAGTTATAACCAATAATAGTTATAACCAATAATAATAAAAGAGTGTTCAGTTTGCTGACCTGCAACAAATATCAATGATATTAAGAAGGGTAACTATTCCTGATGTTAGAGGGGAAGGCAAGGGTTAAAAAATGTCTCAGAGAGAGAGAGTTGGTGGCTCTATGGCAATACAGGCTTATTGCAAAAACTTGCAGAGGTGGGGGACCAGCTTAATGCCAGAGCCCACTGCTGCTTACAGGCTGGAGCAATTTATAGGCCTGGGTGGAAGGGGTCTGGGTGGTATGGCTTGCTGCCTGGGAGGATATTGATAAGATGCTCCTATGATCAGATGGTTTGGCCCTTTTTCCAGTGGGATGTGATAAGATGTTCCTTGGACCTGTGTCAAGCAGGATATGATGGGATGTTCTTTCAGCTGGGGCTTTGCCCAGCAGGGTATGATAAGGATGTTCCTGGCAGGGTGCTGTGGCTCACACCTGTAATCCCAACACTTAGGAAGGCTGAGGCAGGTGGACCATCTGAGGTCAGGAGTTGGAGACCAGCTTGGCCAACATGGTGAAATCCCATGTTTACTAAAAGTACAAAAATTAGCCGGCTATGGTGGCAGGCACCTGTAATCCCAGAGACTTGGGAGACTGAGGCAGGAGGGTTGCTTGAACCTGGGAGGCGGAGGTTGCAATGAGCTGAGATCGTGCCATTGCACTCCAGCCTGGGTGACAAGAGAGAAACTCCATCTCAAAACAAATAAAAATAAAAATAAAAAAGGATGTTCCTGTGGCTGTGATCAGGTTGTTAGGAAAGATGTTTCTCACAGCCCAAACCCCTGTGGAATGTTTCACTCTGACCAGGGTCTGTGAAATGGTGGGGGCCTTACAAAATGGTGCAGCTTGGACTAACACCTGAGAAAGTGAAAAGTAAGATAAGGTCTAAATAAAATTAAGATAACTTATTTAGGTGAAAAGTTTAGTTATGATTTTTTCAGAAAGACAAAAACAGTATGTGAGAAGGCCCCCTGAGAAAGAGAGCATGGAACAGGTGTACAAATCGGAAAAACAAAAAAGTATGGCTGAAGCAGAGTAAGACAATGATCAAACTGCACCTGTCGCTGGAAAAATGTGGAAGAGTCTGACTATTTGGGGCTTTGCGTGCCATGGGATAGTTTGGCTTTCATCTTAAGAATACAGAGAAACTCTTGGTGTGTTTTAGGAGAAAAACGCAAGTCAACACCAATGTAGAGAACATAATGGAAGGAAACACCATTGGATGAGGCAAGTCTCCAGAAGTGTAGGATAATGATGATGATGGTGACAGCGATGGTGGTTGTGGTGCTTCTGCTTCTGGTTGTATTTTGTTACAAGAGATTTGAAAAGGAAAAATACTAGAGAGAATATTACCTAATTTTTGTGTATCTGAGAGACACAATTTCTGCATGTCTGCTCCTGTGTGGTAGAAAAAATAGGCAAAGAAACACGATAAAATTAGTCTATTTCATACTTCATTAGTGCCAATAGTAGCTGGCTCTTCCTAAGCATTTACTGATCCTTACAGGTAAGCAAGAGTTGCTTGGAGTTAATTAGTAGGGTTTCAGTAGCATTTGAAATGTCTGAACTTAAATACTTAAAAAGGGGTTGGAATACAATTTTATTTTAACATAACATTATCTCAGCAATGACTTTGTGATAACATAATGCAGATTAGATAGAATGTTTTCTCTTCACTCAATCAGATTGAAGTTCTATGTATCAATAAAGAGAGAGAGCAATTGTACAGAGATAATCATTATAGCAGTCCCCAGATGCATCTGGGAAACTATTAAGAACCAAAGAGGAGGCTAATGAAAAGATCTCCTGTGGTTATAGAAATTACATGCTTTGGTCTTTCTCTCCCGAAACATCCTTTGTTAGTTTCTTCTGAAAGATCTAGCCAAGGCATTATTTATTAAACTGACTCCATTTCCCCAATGTGCTCTACCTTTGAGAGCCAAGAATAGGACTGTCCAAAGAAACATATAATTAATTTTCTTCATCATTTCTTTACTAGTGTGCATATTAGTTAAGGACTTGACTAGCCCTCTAATCTCCTCTTTTCTTTTTTTTTTTTTTTTTGAGACGGAGTTTTGCTCTTGTTGCCCAGGCTGGAGTGCAATGACGCAGTCTTGGCTCACCGCAACCTCCGCCCCCTGGTTTCAAGCGATTCTCCTGCCTCAGCCTCCGAAGTACTTGGGATTTCAGTCATGCACCACCACACCTGGCTAATTTTGTATTTTTTTTAGTAGAGACAGGGTTTCTCCATGTTGGTCAGGCTAGTCCCGAACTCCCGACCTCAGTTGATCCGCCTGCCTCAGCTTTCCAAAGTGCTGGGATTACAGGCGTGAGCCCCTGCAGCCGGCAAATCTCCTCTGTCTTTACACACACATATACACACACACACACACGTTGCACTTACAAATAATATAATATCAACATATTATGAAAGCCATAATTTCCAAAATGGGTATGTTTCCAGATGTCTCTGAAGTATTACATTAACTATACTAATTTTTCTTTAGGATTGTTTATATGGAAGCTGATTGATGCTTCCTGACACATGTCAACTCCACCTAAATGGAAAAATGGCATTATTCTACAGAAGAATAGATAGCACAATTAGAGTAATCACCTTTTCAGGCAGAAGCACCTTGTCTTTGTAGAAAAGTATTGAACAGTTCCAACTATATAAAATTCCATTAATGCAATCCTATTAAAAACGTCGAAGAACTGATGTGAACCAAAGAAAGCTCAATTAACGGAGCTGAGTGTTTGGTTTCATGTTCGCAATCCTCATGAGTAATCTTGGGAAAATCAATGGTCAAAATGAATATCTGGAGAATAGAGAAGCATCTATTTTTGTTCCTGATAGCCTCAACTAAAAAATAGGTGAAATGTGTGCATGTCAGAGTGGGCGGATGGGTTGATATGTAGGTGTGTGTGTGTGTGAACATGCTGAATTTTGACCATTGCTAAAACGATCACACATATAGCTTACTGTAAACATGATCAATGACTCATCAACTATATACAATTTACTATACGGAAAAGTTAAAGGTCATATAAGGTACATGCTGCTGACTTCAGACTATAAACTGGTCCTGATGCCTTGATATTTATCATAATTTTTTTAAATTTTTGAAAAAATGAAGGCAGATACTTTTTAGCTGGTTAGGTTCATGATAAAAAATACAAGTTCTTTATGTATTTTTAAATGAATTATTTTAGGGTATGTCTATTATTTGTGTTTGTGTGTGCATAAGTCAGTTCGGATTTCCCCATGATTCTTGTCTTAGTCAGTTTGGACTGCTGTAACAAATTATCTTAAACTGAGTAATTTAAAAACAACAGAAATTTATTGCCCACACTTTTGGAGGCTGGAAGGTCCAAGGTCAAGATGTCAGTAAATTCAGGGTTGGTGAGGGCTTGTTCCTTATAGTGGCAGTTTCTATGTGTCCATGTATTATTAAAGGGGCAAACAAGCTCACTCAAGCTTCTTTTACAAGGCCACTAATCCCATTCACTTGGCCTACCCTTGTGACCTAATTACTTCCTTAAAGGTGTCACTTCTCAATACTATTGCATCGGTGATTAGGTTTCACTATAGGAATTTGGAAAGAATGCAGACATTCAGATCGTAACAATTATATTTCAACAAAGTCACCTACAAGGCAAATAAGCCTTCTCCTGAAAATGATTTCAGGATGCCTTTGTCCAGGAATGCTGATGACTGAACATGGGGAGACTGTCTCTGAGTACCATCAACATTGATTATCTCCAAGAAAGGGGAGTGACAATCAAGCACTAGAACCATGTTAAAAACGAAGTCAACCCTTATTCTACCAGCTAGCATACTTCCAATATCTTTCACTTTAAGGTAGATAAAGAGTGTGAGAATTGTACTTATAGCTGAATAAATTAGGAAGAAAAGACATGAACCTATGGCACAAAAATAGGAAAACTCAATACATAAATGTTTAGTTAACATGTTAAATAATAGTTTTAGGTAAATAGTAAGTCTTAGGTAAGAGGGGAGGGGTTTAAATAACAGCTGATGGGTTTACAAAGACATACACAAAAAGCTGGGTCTTAAAATGAAAGGCAGAAGATCTTTCTATGGTGGGAAGTGTCAGAGATGAGGAGACTTGGCTTGATGGGATATGGATGATAAGTTAGCAGTCAAGAGATGGTATCTGAGGTTGCAAAGAGTCATAAGCTTTGAAAAGCAGGATATGGTAAGATAAAATAATAACAGCCTTACTTATAAATAAATAAATGAATGAATAAATAAATAAATAAATTCAGAAGATTACTTCCAAATGACTTTCTCCTTCAGCACATCCTTATAATGCTTGCTACTGAAACTCTCTTTCAATATTCACAAGGCAAAGTTATGGTGGGAAAAGGAAATAGGCTTAATGGCTGACAGTTTTGAGTTCAAATTCCAACTCTCCCTCCTTATGAGTTGTGTGACATTGGGCATACTACATAACTTTTATAAACTTTAGTTCCACTACTAAAAGGGTGATGATAGTGCCTAAAGAAGAGGCATTATAGCTTGTAGTGATGAGCACATATTCTGTAAGCAACTTTCTTGGGCTCAAACTCTGGTTCCACACTTATAACCTCTATCTCTTTGGTAAAGCTTCTTAACGCTGTGTCGTCTTTTCTTTGTCTCTAAATTAGATGATCACATAGAGATATTGTCAGTATTGAATGCATTATTTCTGATAATAGTGCCTGGACAACAGTGCCTACAAACTGTTTATTAATAATGTGTATAATATTGTTTAATTACACCATGGGTGGTTTGAAAAATAAAATGATATGTGCTTGTAATGTGTCAAGCACAGTATGCAGGGCATAGTAAAGATGCAGCAATACCACTTAATCTCATTCCTTTTTTCCTGCTAAGAAATATCAAGGCAGATTCCTCCATGTGTCATTCTCTACAGGGAATCTCATTGGCCTCCCGTTATTCTTCTCATAGTCACACTCCCTATAGAAAGAATTCCTACCAACAGTCATAACTAACCTTCCCACAAATGCCAAGAATGAACTTTCTCACTTAATTTGACCACTCAAGTCCTATATAAGTGGAGGTTGAAAATCAATTCCTAAAAGAGGCCATTCTTAGCAGGAACCTATTGAAACAACAACTCCCATTAAGCCATTGATCTGAACTGTAGACACAACTTATTTCACACATTTAAGTACATTTCATAAATGCACTCACAGAAACCATTTGTATTCTCTGTCCTATCTTTCCACTTATATCAAAACTGTGTTATTTTCGCTACATAGAAGAAAAATGTATAGCAACATTTTCATTATATTCTTCTGCACATGTACCTCTAGAATCTACAGTAAAGAAAAAAAAATAAGCAGACCATCACTTTGAAGATTTTTTTGAATCTATTTTTTATTTTCTATTTTTAAAATGTTTTTAAACTCTAGTTTTATATTTTCTATTTCTACCGTAATGTCAAATCATATTCAGTGATTTAAATGATTAAAAAACAAACTGTAATTGAATTCCAAGTACACAGAATCTGAATATATTTTCACTTAGTGTATTGAAGTATAAAAAATAAGTATTTTTTACATTTGTTACCACAAATAATTTTTTAAATATACAAAATTAACTATTAAAAACAATTAGGAATATCAGTTTAAAATAAAAATATTTAAATCAGAAAATATTATCATTATATACATTTTTAATTCCTATGCATGTAAAAATAAATAAATAGAACATCAGGCAGGCCAACTAACTTGCTTAGCAACTAGTAAGAGACAAGACACTAATTTCTGAAAATCACCTTGGTTTTCCTTATCTAAACTATATTATTTTATGTTTGGTGCTGAATTATAATTAAAATAATACAGTGTGCCTGAAATAGCAAGCCATATTCACAGCCTAAAATAAGCATATTTCTTAATCTTGTTTAAAATCTTAAAATGCTACAGCAGAATCCTAAATAATTATCTTTTTTAATAAAATAAATTTTGTTAGGGAAGCAGAAATTATCTCAACCGAGACACTGTTTGCCATCTGCTCCTGTGAAGTCATATAGACTTTAGATTTGGTAAATGGTTCATCATCCATAGCTATAGGGGCATCAATAAAAATTTCTGTAGTTAATAGATTATCTGTCAGAAAATTCCATGTGTTAACTATTTTTCTCTATCATATTTTCAAAACTAATTAAATACTTAGGTTAATCAGATGTTGAGAATTTTTTTGATGTGATTTTTGAAAAATACATTATAATATTCACTTATGGATCTTGTAACCTCCAATTGCTCACTATTGGAAGTTGAAGTCTCTGTTTCCAAAGAATATTACTCTTAAAAGTAGCTGAAAATCACACTAAAGGATATTATTCTTAAAAGTAGCTGAAAAGCACCGATGGCTCATCATTAATGTGAACTATTTGCAAAGTTTTCTCATGTTTGCAGCATCTGGAAAAGCTAATGGAAGCTACAAAAGACACATCAAGAATAAATGAAAAGACCCTGGAAAAGAGCAATGATTTTGCTCTTTGAAAGAAATGAAGATATAATCATTTAATAATTTTATAGAAAGAAAGGCACAGAGGGGATTGCCATGGGTTTGAAATGCCCGTCTTTATACAGAATGTTCTGAATTAGATCCCAATAATGTGGCATGAAGGGGGAGTAAAGAGACTTCAAAAAGCTAGGAGAAAAAAAATAAGAACTTAAGTTGCTTGTGTGACCTTGGAAAAGTCCATTTCCTTGTGAGACAGTTTTTTCTTCAATAGAAAAAAAAAAGCTTGTGATCAACAGGTTTTGATCAGGAAGGTTAATTTATCAGCAACCGTCTTAATCAAAGCCATTGACATGCATAACATTCTGCTCAGCATCTCGGAGGCGAAATTTGGGCTCTGAAATTTCTCCTTGATTCTTTATTAGGCATAAATAAATAAATAAGGGAATTCAAGAGAATGAAAACAAAAATAGCGTGTTTAATGATCTGTTCTAATGAAGACAAAAGTATATCATAAACATCAAATTAAATGTGACACACAAAAACTGATTATGATCAACTAGTGTATCTACCACAGATCTGTTGAAAACTATCACACTGGTTCATCTGTTAGTTTTTATGATGTTAAAAGAATCTGTTAAATAAGATCCTGTTAGATGATATAAGAATCTGTTAGTTATTATGATGTAAAGATTTCTCTCTCTCTCTCTGACTTTCTCATGCTTACTTTAATATTATTGTTGCAGATCTCTGATTAATTCATTGCAAAGCCTTCTGACTTTTGCTTGTTTTTCCCATCAACCCCATTAAATGCCAATTTTGAGCAGATACCCTACATCGTGGCAGAATAGATTATCCAAGAGAAGGTCAGGATAGAGTGCAGCAATGATCGGAAGTGGTGTCTTCAATAAGATGGGACTGGATATAGATGGGAAGAAGCACAATGGAAAGAAGAATATTCCAGATCTTACAAATGTGGAAAGCACTCAGTTGGTCTGTCAACGAGCAGTGAGGATCCATTTTGGTGCAGTTACCTAGATCCCTAAGAAAGAAATGAAGGAGAAGAAAGGAAAAGGATTCAATTCTAATAGTGACTCATGATGAGTCTATAGTTCAGATATTTGAAGAGAACATCCCAGAACACCGGTAACAAAGGAGAATGTCTTGCTGGGCTTCTAAAGATTGGACTGGATCTATTTAAACCTCTGCTATAAAAAGTCACAAGAGGAGCATAGCTAAGGCTTCTTAAGAGGTGAAGGAGCTTATTACAATGTATTTCTTCTCCCTTCCATAAAAATTGACCAGTGTTATTCCTCACACCTCTTGGTCTGTTCTCTGCCTTCCAAGGAGATAAAAATCTAACTAACTTGTAAAATGAATGATGAGCAGATATTTACTGAAGATGTACACACTCCTCCTCTTTGTACTCATATATTTATGTTTTAATCATTTATATTCACTCTTAAGAGAAATGTAAATGACCAGGAGAACAAATTAGTAAAATAAAAAGAATTAGCTAATCAAATGATGAAGTATTAACTGAATGTAATATAATCCAATACTTCATAATATGTATACATTATATAAATTAACTTCAAAATCTATGATACAATAATTTTAAAGAGAAGCCAGAAAATAAAATGTTGTATATCAAATGTTCACAATTATATAAACATGCCTAAAATGCTGGATTCTTGAGAGCATATCAAAATAGTACCATTCCTGGAATGATTTAGGAATTTTTTTCTTCTTCTTTTAATTCCTTTTTATTTTACAAATATGTTGTTTCGAACACATGAACTTGGGGGAACACATTCAAACCATAGCAACTTATAATTCCTCTCACTTAGACCTTCCCTCCATTTCTTAACTGTTAGTTATATTGCCAATGTTTTCTTCACTTGTATTTTGTCCTGTAATTCTATTTATCCTCTCTTCTATACAAGCTGAGCAAAATATATTCTTTTTGAGTGTGCGACAGAAATTAGAAGAAAGAACAGGAAAGGTGGATATGTATCTTTATCTGTGTCCCAATATAAAATTCTTCTTTGCAAAGACTGAGATTTACTGTAAGTAAGATAATATGCACTCAGAAATACTTAAGTTACATGTGAATTGAAATATGTCCATGGGAAAAAAATACTTATATATTTTACCCAAAAGGTTGATTACAGGATTCCATGATCATGGTATTCACAGTTCAAACCCTTTTTCATATCATTCAAGACGTTTACTGCTACATAAACACCTCGCAAATTTTATCTCAATTTCTCTCCTGAGGACAATCTTTAGTCTATCTACTTTTTATTCTGAGCACTTATTTAATCATGATACATTTAAATTTCCATATAGTATATGTTTTTCTTCTTTAAAATAGGACTTCCATTAGTGTTTTTAAAATAATATTGGTCTTATGATCATAAATTTTCTCAGCATTTATATTCTGAAGAATATATATTTCCTGTTTATTTTTGACAGAATCTTTTTAGATAAAAATATCTTACTATTTTTAAAATGTCACTCCATTGCATACTGGCTTGCATGGTTTTTAGTGGCAAATCTGCTGTTCTTTATTTCTTCCTATGTATGTGATATTTATTTTTGCTACTGTGGGCTTTTAAGGTTATTCTTTATTTATTTCTTTAATTTCTCTTTTATTTATTTATTTTTTTGAGACAGGATCTCACTCTGTCACCCAGGCTGGAGTGCAGTGGCCAGATCACAGCTCACTGCAGCCTCAACCTCTCAGGCTCAAGCAATCCTCCCACATCAGCCTCCCTAATAGCTGGGACTACAGACATGCGCCACCACACCGGTTAATTTTTGTGTTTTTTGTAGAGGATAGAGTTTTTCCATGTTGCCCAGGCTGACCTAGAACTCCTGGGCTCAGGCAATCTACCTGCCTCAGCCTCTCAAAAGTGCTGGGATTACAGACATGAGCCACTGCACCGGCCTCAAGACTATTATTTATTAATGTTTTGTTGGTGTCTTGGGATGTTATAGAAATTGACTATAATATATTTTCCTGTGGTTTTCTTCATGTCTCTTCTGTTCAAGGTTTATTAAGTATCTTGGGTATGGGGATTAATTCTTAACAAATTTGGAAAAATAAAAAATTTGGTCACTGTATCTTCAAATATATTTTCTGCCTCATTTTCTCTTTTCTTAGAATTCTATTTACATATATGTCTGTCCACTCCATGTTTTTCTGCCACTCACTAAAACCATGCTCACTTTTTTTCTCATTCATTCATTTGAATAGTTCCTATTGTTATCTGTCTTTTAAGTCCTCTACACTTTTGTTCTACATTATCTAATCTGCTGGTAATTTCATACTATATGGTTTTCATTGCAAATAATATATTTTCCATTTTTAGAAGCTCTATTTGGATTGCTGTCCATGTTTTCATCTATCTGTTTGAACATATAGAAAATATTCATAATATTTACATAAATATTCATGTTTTAATATGCTGGTCTGCAGGTTTACTTATCTCTATCATATTTGGTCTGTTTCTATTGACTATTACATTTCCTTGTTACGAGTTTTGTTTTCCTGCTGCTTACATTTGTTTTCTGGATTTTGCCATATTTCTTTAAATATTGCTGGTGTTTGTTCCTTGGTGTGTTTATATTATTTGGATTCAGTTTACATTTTTTGAAGTCTTACCTCTAATTTTGTTAGTGTAGTACAGGTAAGATAACATGACTTTACTATTGATGCTTTTCTTTTCTTGTCTTTTTTTTTTTTTTTTTTTTTTTTTGAGACGGAGTCTTGCTCTGTCACAAAGGCTGGATTGCAGTTACGCGATCTCGGCTCACCGCAACCTCCAACACCCGAGCTCAAGCAATTCTCCTGCCTCAGCCTCCCAAGTAGCTGGGATTATAGGCGCCTGCCACTGCGCCTGGCTAATATTTGTGTTTTTAGTAGAGACAGGGTTTCACCACGTTGGACCAGGCTGGTCTCAAATGCCTGGCTTTTCTGAAGATTATACCCATTGCTCCCTGCATTAAGGGATCTTTCTACTTGGACTAGTAGAAGCATCAACTTTACTAAACCTGTGTAAACTCTGCAGATTGTTTTGTTTATTAGTTTCTGATGTTTCTTTCTCAAGTCTTAGGTACTTCCCATGCATGTGCAGAAAAATGCTTAGGGTAGAATTCAAGGAGACGACACTGCAGTCTCTGGAGCTCTCTAAGAAGTTTCTCTTGTGTTTGCTCCTCAATTTCTAGCTGACATGGCTTTTTCACAGTCCAAACTCTGTCTTTTTTACTCAACAAAACTGCTGTGCTCTGTTTGGTTTGACTACCCTGGCTTAGCCTGGAAATTATCTCTGTTCAGTAAATTCATGTTATTATAGGTCTCTTTTTTCTTTACATTATCTTTCCCCAGCCGACATCATTCTGTGCTGCCTGTTGACCAATATCTGACTAACGTTATTTCACATAGTTCATCAGTGTACCTTGTAACCTCTCTTTTCTTCTGTACTCCATCTTAATGTAGGCAAACTCCTTGTAAGAAGGTGAAATATTCAAGTTTAATATTGCATATTTGTGAGTCCCCTATTTTTTTAAAAACACAACCTTTACTTCCATATGTAATGTGAAACTCAGTTTCCACTTAAATATATGGTACAGATGTTCCTGTTTCATGGCCCACCTATAACCCCAGATCTCATGTATTTAATCAAAACATTACTAAGTAGATATTTCAAGATACCAAAATTTACTTTGATAGAAATCTATGTCTAGCAAAATCTCATGAGGTCTGCTTCTCATTACCATTAACCCTATCCCACCCTTCAATCTTACATTTTTCTATTATAAATTATAGTTTTGGGGCATTTGTTTACACATATATACATATATATGTGTATATATAATATATATATTTTGTTGTACCTATTTACATGTTTCTCAGATGATGGATTTATTTATACATACTATCTAATTGGTTACAAAAAAAAAGGGGAGAGTTTTAGGATATTTTAAAGGCACTGGAACAGGAATACAGAACTGATGCTATGAAGCAAATAATTCAGGGAGGAATATGTCTATTTCTAAATGCCTCTCGTTTTTTAATGAGTATGTATAGGTTATGTTATTAATATTGATTTACAAATATATAGAATTCCCACTGCATATATTTTCTCAAATTGTCGGGAGCCCTGTTTAATTTCTCCAAGTACAATTTTGTATTTTCTATTATTTCCTAGAGCCATTTTGCAAAATAAAACAAAACCAAACAAACAAAACACACCAGACTGGGCGTGGTGGCTCACTCCTGTAATCCCAGCACTTTGGGGGCCAAGGTGGGCAGATCACGAGGTCAGGAGATCGAGACCATCCTGGCCAACATGGTGAAACCCTGTCTCTACTAAAAATACAAAAAATAATTAGCTGGGCATGGCAGCAGGCACCTGTAGTCCCAGCTACTTGGTAGGCTGAGGCAGGATAATCGCTTGAACCTGGGAGGTAGAGGTTGCAGTGAGCTGAGATCACGCCACTGTGACTCCAGCCTGGTGACAGAGTGAGACTCCCTCTAAAAAAAAAAAAAAAAATACACAGACCAAACTTCTTCCAAAAAAGATAGTTATTATATCAGCAGTAAAACTGAAACATAATTTATTATTTCTATTGTGAAATGCCTACCTAATATAGGATAGATAACTGTAAACATTATGACTATCCTTTAAATAGGAGAATACTTGAAAAATGTATGGGAATTCTTTTCATCAAAAGAAAGGCTTAAGACACAAAAAGTGAAACACCATTACTATTAAACCAATGAGAAAGGAGCTCTCTCAGGAAAATACATAACCTCACAGTTTCACTTTGAAAAGGTAGACATGTTATTTCTAAATGGATTCTTAAAATCCATTCTCTGGTTTCATGTTTGTATTACTGTGTATAATTAAAAGGTTTCCCATATGTGTAGATTTTCAATTCATTACTTGTATGCTTAATAGATAGGCAGGTTTAGAAGGGAAATATATGTTCATAATGCTTTGAAATGAGCTATTGCGGACAGTTTTATAGAAAACAAATACCTCCAGTGTAATGTGCAATTCTAATTATCTTAGAATCATGTGATATACTTAGCATAGCACATTCCTAATTTTAAGATTTTTTTTCTATTCTCATTCCATTTAGCCCAGTGTTGTAATCTTTTTTATGTCTGTGTTTTAATTTTGTTTATGTGCCCTCTAACAATGTACTTAATATTTCAAAGTGCTTTGCCATAAGCTCTAAGAGAGGAATTCTTTCATTGCCACAAATGAATTACTTTTCATAAGTTCTACTCCCCACATATTACATTAAATCCCTCTTCAGATCAGTGTTGTATCTCTCTCTCTCACACATACACACACACACACACAAATACACTCTCTATGGAAAAGGGGACAGATGCAAGATAGCCAGCTGGGTTTAACAGAGAGGACTATCCTACAAATATTAAATAGTAATGCATGCACAGAGCAACTTTGGGTATTGGTACACAGTTTTTATTCTTTGAAGAAAACCCAATCTAAGACTTGGTGAAATTGTGGCTGAATCAATACAGTGCCAGTTAGAAACTGGAGTGAGGCCTAGGTTTAAGAAAACCACTCAAGTCTGCCTTACATAGGTAGGAGGAATTTGGGGTGTCTATGATCATTCAATCATCACCAGTCCTTTGTACTGTTTAGGAAAGATGAGTCTTAATCAGTGATTTGGAAGACTTCTAAAAAATTATTATACTTTTCTGGAGATTAGTATGGTGGTAATTAAGTCAGCAAACATGGTAGCCCAAACATCTTCTATTTAACATTTTATGTAATCATACTTAATAGCTGATAAAGACATTTAATAGTTTAAAATATTTGAGAGGATAAAAATAATTTCAGCCGGTAACTCTCTCCTAAACTCTCCTTTCCTCTTCTGCAAAATAAAGGACTCTACAGGACAAATCACCTAAAGAGTCTTAACAAACTGTATTGAAAATAAATGAGTGACATCACCAGGGTTATACAACTAATTTGATGGGAATTTAAGGTTCAGAGCCATCAACTTTTAAGTATACTATTTTTGCTATTCCTGTTTTTGCAGTTGGTTTTGTCTTTATGCAGCTAAACGTATTGTTAACATTAACATTTTTATTGAGCTATAAATGAGAAACATTAAAATATATAAATTTAAAGGTTATAGTTTGATAAATTGTGGCATGTATACATCTATAAAATCATCACATATCATTTCCAAAAGTTTTCTCATGCCCATGTATAATCACCTATCGCTACAAAATAAATTTATTTTGTAATTCTTATATAAATATAATTATATACAATGTATTTTCTAGTTTTTGTTAGTGTTTTTTAGTCAGCATGATTATTTTTAGATTAATCCAGATTTATATATTAATCATCGATTCCTTTTATGTCATTCCACTGTATGGATGGACCACTATTCATTCATCCATTCATGTGATCTTGAACATATGGGCTGTTTCCAGCTAGAAATTATTACATATAAAGTTTCCATGAACATTCATGCACAATCTTTGAATAAGCATATGTTTTCATTTGCAGGGGAGATAATTAGATAGGAGTGCAGTGGCTACATCGTATGGTAGAAACATGTTTAACTTTTGGGGAATGCTGAATTATTTTCAAATAATTGCACAATTTTACATCTTTACCACCAGTGTATGAGACTTCCAGTTTCTTTACATCTTCCCAAACTTGCTACCGTCACTCTTTTACATTTTAGCCATCCTATTAGGAGTGAAATAGTATGACATCATATTTTTAGTTTGTATTTTCCTAATGACTAATGATGGGCTTTTCATGGGCTCATTTGTCATTACACCTCTTATTTGGTCAAGTGTCTGTTCAAATAACTTACCAGTTTTTAATTGGATTTTGTGGTTCTTTATTGTTGAATTTTGAGAATTTCTTATATATTTTAGATACAAGTCCTTTATTGTATATATGTTTTAAAAATAATTCCTCACATTCTATGACTTGTTTTCTCATTCTATTAACAGTGCTTAGAATAATGCTGAATAATGCTTTGCAAACAGAAGTTTTTAATTTTGATAAAACCCAATTTATTAAGTTATTCTTTTGTGGATAGTATTTTTCTTGTTGCATCTAAGAAATCTTATTTCATCAAAATTCTAAAATATTTGCTCCAAAATGAAGTTTTTTGAAATATGGTCTCACTCTGTTGACCAGGCTGGAGTGCGGTGGCATGATCATAGCTCACTGAAGCCTTGATTTCCTGGGCTGAAGCAATCCTTCTATCTCAGCCTCCCAAGTAGCTGGAACCACAGGTGCACACCCAGTGATATGGTTTGGCTGTGTCCCCACCCAACATCTCAGCCTGAATTGTAATCACCACATATTGGGGTAGGGACCTCATGAGAGGTGATACAATCAGGGGGGTGGTTCTCCCATACTGTTAACATGATATTGAGTTTTCATGAGATCGCATGGTTTTTTTGTTTGTTTGTTTAGACGGAGTTTTGCTCTGTAGCCAGGCTGGAGTGCAGTGGCACGATCTCAGCTCACTGCAATGCAACCTCCAACTCCCTGGTTCAAGAGATTCTCCTGCTGTGTCCAGAGTTGGTGGGTTCTTGGTCTCACTTACTTCAAGAGTGAAGCCACAGACCCTCATGGTGAGTGTTACAGTTCTTAAAGATGGTGTGTCCGGAGTTTGTTCCTTCTGATGTTTGGACGTATTCGGAGTTTCTTCCTTCTGGTGGGTTCATGGTCTCCCTGGCTTCAGGAGTGAAGCTGCAGACCTTTGCGGTGAGTGTTACAGCTCTTAAGGCAGTTCATCTGGAGTTGTTCATTCCTCCCGTCTGGAGTTGTTCATTCCTCCTGGCAGGTTCATGGTCTTGCTGGCCTCAGGAGTGAAGCTGCAGACCTTCGCAGTGAGTATTACAGCTCATAAAGGCAGTGTGGACCCAAAGAGTGAGCAGCAGCAAGATTTGTTGCAAAGAGTGAAAGAACAAAGCCTCCATGATGTGGAAGGTAACCCAAGGGAGTTGCTACTGCTGGCTCAGGCAGCCTGTTTTTATTCCCTTATCTGACCCCACCCACATCCTATAGATTGGCCCATTTTACAGAGAGCTGATTGGTCTGTTTAACAGAGAGCTGATCAGTCAGTTTTGACAGGGTGCTGATTGGTGCATTTATAATCCCTGAGCTAGACACAAAAGTTCTGCAAGTCCCCACTAGATTAGGTAGACACAGAGCACTGACTGGTGCATTTACAAACCTTGAGCCAGACACAGGGTGCTGATTGGTGCATTTACAAACCTTGAACTAGACACAGAGTGCTGATTGGTGTATGTACAATCCCTTAACTAGACATTAAGGTTCTCCAAGTCCCCACTAGACTCAGGAACCCAGCTGGCTTCACTTACTGGATCCCGCAGGGGGACTGCAGGTGGAGCTGCCCGCCAGTCCCATACAGTATGTCCGCACTCCTCAGCCCTTGGGCGGTAGATGGGACCGGCAGCTGCGGAGCAGGGGGCGGCGCTCGTCCGGGAGGCTCGGGCAGTGCAGGAGCCCACCATAGTGTGGAGGCTTAGGCATGGCGGGCTGCAGGTCCTGAGCCCTGCTGGGCAGGGAGGCAGCTGAGGCCCTGCGAGAATTCCAGCGCAGCGCCAGCGGGCCGGCACTGCTGGGGGACCCGGTGCACCCTCCGCAGCTGCTGGCCCAAGTGCTAAGCCCCTCACTGCCTGGGGCCCGCGGTGCTGGCTGGCGGCTCCCAGTGTGGGGCCCGCCGAGCCCACGCCCACCCGGAACTCGCGCTGGCCCACAAGCGCCACATGCAGACCCAGTTCCCGACCACGCCTTTCCCTCCACACCTCCCTGCAAGCTGAGGGAGCCGGCTCCGGCCTCTGCCAGCCCAGGAACGGGCTCCCACAGTGCAGCAGCAGGCTGAAGGGCTCTTCAAGCGTGGCCAGAGTGGGCGCCGAGGCCGAGGAGGCGCCGAGAGCAAGCGAGGCTGCCAGCACGCTGTCACCTCTCGCTGCCTCAGACTCTGGAGTAGCTGGGATTACAGTCACGCGCCACCACGCCCGGCTAATTTTTGTACTTTTAATAGAGACGCGGTTTCGCCATGTTGGCCAGGCTTGTCTCAATCTCCTGACCTCGTGATCTGCCTACCTCGGCCTCCCAAAGTGCTGGGATTACAGGCGTGAGCCACCGCGCCTGGCCGATCTGATGGTTTTATAAGGGGCTTTTCGCCGCTTCACTTAGCACTCCTCTGTCCTGCCGCCATGTAAAGGACGTGTTTGCTTCCACTTCTGCTTTGATTGTAAGTTTCCTGAGGCCTCCCCGGCCATGCAGAACTGTGAGTCAATTAAACCTCTTACCTCTATCAATCACCTCTATCAATTAAACTTCTTTCCTCTATAAATTTCCTCTATAAATTACTCGGGTATTTTTCTTCATAGCAGCAGAAGGGACTAATACACCCAGAAAACTTAGCTATTTTTTTTTTTTGAAATAGAGACAGGGTTCCCCCCCACTTTTTGTTGTTGTTGTTGTTCAGGCTAGTCTTGAACTCCTGGGCTCAAGTGGTTCTCTCTCCTTGGCCTCCTAAAGTGCTCAAACTGTGGGAATTACAGGCATAAACCACTATGCATAGCCTAAATTTACTCTTCTGTTAGTTTTACGGTTTTACGTATACCTCTAAATGTTTCAATTTTTAGTTAATTAGTGTATAAGACACCCACTATAAATTAAAGTTGCATGTGGCTTTCCAATTACCCCAGCACAATTTTCAGAAAAAAGTATTATCTTCCCACTGAAATGTATTTACACCTTTCTCCAAAGTCGGTTGACCATATAAATATAGGTTTATATCTGGACTCTATTTTTTACCTTTGACCCATTTGTTAAATTTTAATGCAAAATAACATACTGTTATTTGCATAATGTTGTTTGCATTAAAATGAAACACTGTTATTAGCATCATAAATTACTGTTGCTTTTCAATATATGTTGAAATCAATTAGGGCTACTGCCTCAACTTTGTTCTTTTTTCAATTTTGTTTAGACAATTTTACTTTATTTGCATTTCTCTCTCTATATATATATATATTGAATTGACTTATTTCTACCAAAAAGTGCCTGACGACATTTTGACTGTGATTGCAATGAATTTATAAAAATATTTGGGAAAATCAACATCTTAATAATCTTGAGTCTTCTGTTCCATGAGCATAGTATATTTCTCAATTTATTTAAATTTCTCTAAATCTTTCCAGCTATTTTATGTTTGATTTTGTGATTGTGTTTTGCATGTTTTTATCATATTTGTCATACCTTTTTATGTTTCAATTACATTGTACATAAAATTTTTAGGATTTATTTATGATCTTTATTATATAGAAGTTCAATTGTTTTTTGTATAATCATGCAACTGGTTAGAGGTTTATCCATATTACTGATCTTAAATAACCAGCTTTTGATTTTATTAATTTTCTTATTTTTTTGATTTCTATTTCCGTGATTTGCACTTATATATTTATTACTTCCTTTATTTTGGATTTAAAGGGTTTTTTTTGTTTTTTAGTGTTTTAAGTCATTTGTTTCAGATCTTTGTCTTTTCTAACTAAAGAAGTTTTATTTAAGTAGTTTTTGCTAAAATCTCATATATACATATATATATGTGTATATATACATATTTTGGGTTTTTTTTTTTTTTTGAGGCGGAGTCTCACTCTTTTACCCAGGCTGGAGTACAGTGACGCGATCTTAGCTCACTGCATGCTCTGCCCCCGGGTTCACACCATTCTCCTGCCTCAGCCTCCCGAGTAGCTGGGACTACAGGTACCTGCCACCATGCCCGGCTAATTTTTTGTATTTTTAGTAGAGACGGGATTTCACTGCGTTAGCCGGTATGGTCTCGATTTCCTGACCTCATGATCTGCCTGCCTCGGCCTTCCAAAGTGCTGGGATTACAGGCGTGAGCCACCGCGCCCGGCCCTATTTTGTTTTCATGTTCATTTAGTTCAAAATACTTTGCAATTTTTCATTTCTTTTTTGACTTTTTAAAAAACATTTGGCATTTAGTTTTCAAATGTTTTGAGATTCCCCAGATAGTTATCTGTGTGTATTTCTTTTTTAAAAATGTATTTAATTTTGTTGCTGTCAGATATTATGTTTTGTTTTATTTGAATCCTTAAACTTACTGTTATTTTATAGAATAGGATGTAGCCTATTTTCATAAATGTCTGCATGCACTTCTAGTATCTATTCTACTGTTGTTAGGTGGAACACTCTATACATGTGAATTTCATAAATATTGTTGATAGTGTCATTCAATGCTTGAATAAGCTTTTTTTTTTTTTATTAACTATAGAGAAAGATGTTGAAATATATGGCAACAAGTGGTAAATTTGTCTATTTCTCCTGCAGTTTTATTTGTTTATGCTTCATATTTGCAAAGCTGTGCTATTAGGCTCATAAACATTTAGGATGGATTATCACGCACTTAGCAGCATTTTTTGCTCTGAAATCTGTCTAATATTAATGTAATCACTTGAGCTATTTTTGATTAATGCTATCATGGACTATATATTTTAGCCAATGTTTATTTTTATCGCTCTTCTCTCTTACTACAGAGACTTCAATTACCGTATATTGGACCACTTAAAATACTTATCACTCATGTTCTGTAAATTTATTTGAGCCTTTTTTCTTCTGTTTGGGTAATTTGTTGTGCTGTGTCTTCAAGTTCATTGATCTTTTCTTCTGATAGACCTAATATGCTCCAATTCCCAACCATTACATTTTTTAAAGAAATCTCATACAATGTTGTTCTCATATCTAGAGGTCCATTTTGGATCACTTTTATTTTTTCCATGTTTTTACTCCTCATTTTTAGTCTTTAGCCTTTGAACATAGGATATGGTTACAATAACTGTACTGTTGTTCTTGTTGGCTAATTTTAGCTTGTCTGTCATGTCTAGATTGGTTTTCATTGATTAATTTTTCTCCTCACGGGTTGCATCTTTCTACTTACTTTCATGCCTTTTTGTTTTTTTTATTTTGTTTTGTTTTGTTTATTTTATTTTTTGAGATGGAGTCTCGCTCTGTCTCCCAGGCTGGAGTGCTGTGGTGCAATCTCGGCTCACTGCAACTTTGATTTATTTCGATTTTTATATTTAGTTTCCTTTTGGCAGCATGTAGGTAGGTCTTCCTTATTTTAATCCAGTCAGACTACCTCTTTGTTTTAATTGGGGTGGTACAGACCATTTAAATTTAATGTGATGTTTAATACAATCAGGTTTAAAGCCATTAACTTGCTATTTGTTTTCCATTTGTTCAATATGTCCTTTTTTATGCCTTCTTTTAGATTAATTTATATTTTTATGAAACAATTTTTCATTTATTTTGTTGACTTACTAGCTATAACTATTTGTTATGTTATTTGTGTGATTGTTTTAGGTTTATAGTATTTTCTTTTTTTTTGTTTTGTTTGAGACAGAATCTTTTTTTAAATTTATTTATTTATTATTATTATACTTTAAGTTTTAGGGTAAATGTGCACAATGTGCAGGTTAGTTACATATGTATACATGTGCCATGCTGGTGCGCTGCACCCACTAACTCATCTAGCATTAGGTATATCTCCCAATGCTATCCCTCCCCCCTCCCCCCACCCCACAACAGGCCCCAGAGTGTGATGTTCCCCTTCCTGTGTCCATGTGTTCTCATTGTTCAATTCCCACCTATGAGTGAAAATATGCGGTGTTTGGTTTTTTGTTCTTGCGATAGTTTACTGAGAATGATGATTTGCAATTTCATCCATGTCCCTACAAAGGACATGAACTCATCATTTTTATGGCTGCATAGTATTCCATGGTGTATATGTGCCACATTTTCTTAATCCAGTTTATCATTGTTGGACATTTGGGTTGGTTCCAAGTCTTTGCTATTGTGAATAATGCCGCAATAAACGTATGTGTGCATGTGTCTTTATAGCAGCATGATTTATAGTCCTTTGGGTATATAGCCAGTAATGGGATGGCTGGGTCAAACGGTATTTCTAGTTCTAGATCCCTGAGGAATTGCCACACTGACTTCCACAATGGTTGAACTAGTTTACAGTCCCACCAGCAGTGTAAAAGTGTTCCTATTTCTCCACATCTCTCCAGCACCTGTTGTTTCCTGACTTTTTAATGATTGCCATTCTAACTGGTGTGAGATGGTATCTCATTGTGGTTTTGATTTGCATTTCTCTGATGGCCAGTGATGGTGAGCATTTTTTCATGTGTTTTTTGGCTGCATAAATGTCTTCTTTTGAGAAGTGTCTGTTCATGTCCTTCGCCCACTTTTTGATGGGGTTGTTTGTTTTTTTCTTGTAAATTTGTTTGAGTTCATTGTAGATTCTGGATATTAGCCCTTTGTCAGATGAGTAGGTTGTGAAAATTTTCTCCCATTTTGTAGGTTGCCTGTTCACTCTGATGGTAGTTTCTTTTGCTGTACAGAAGCCCTTGAGTTTAATTAGGTCCCATTTGTCAATTTTGGCTTTTGTTGCCATTGCTTTTGGTGTTTTAGACATGAAGTCCTTGTCCATGCCTATGTCCTAAATGGTAATGCCTAGGTTTTCTTCTAGGCTTTTTATGGTTTTAGGTCTAACGTTTAAGTCTTTAATCCATCTTGAATTGATTTTTGTATAAGGTGTAAGGAAGGGATCCAGTTTCAGCTTTCTACATATGGCTAGCCAGTTTTCCCAGCACCATTTATTAAATAGGGAATGCTTTCCCCATTGCTTGTTTTTCTCAGGTTTGTCAAAGATCAGATAGTTGTAGATACGTGGCGTTATTTCTGAGGGCTCTGTTCTGTTCCATTGATCTATATCTCTGTTTTGGTACCAGTACCATGCTGTTTTGGTTACTGTAGCCTTGTAGTATAGTTTGAAGTCAGGTAGCATGATGCCTCCAGCTTTGTTCTTTTGGCTTAGGATTGACTTGGTGATGCGGGCTCTTTTTTGGTTCCATATGAACTTTAAAGTAGTTTTTTCCAATTCTGTGAAGAAAGTCATTGGTAGGTTGATGGGGATGGCATTGAATCTATAAATTACCTTGGGCAGTATGGCCATTTTCACGATATTGATTCTTCCTATCCGTGAGCATGGAATGTTCTTCCATTTGTTTGTATCCTCTTTAATTTCATTGAGCAGTGGTTTGTAGTTCTCCTTGAAGAGGTCCTTCACATCCCTTGTAAGGTGGACTCCTAGGTATTTTATTCTCTTTGAAGCAATTGTGAATGGGAGTTCACTCATGATTTGGCTCTCTGTTTGTCTGTTATTGGTGTATAAGAATGCTTGTGATTTTTGTACATTGATTTTGTATCCTGAGACTTTGCTGAAGTTGCTTATCAGCTTAAGGAGATTTTGAGCTGAGACAATGGGGTTTTCTAGATATACAATCATGTCATCTGCAAACAGGGACAATTTGACTTCCTCTTTTCCTAATTGAATACCCTTTATTTCCTTCTCCTGCCTAATTGCCCTGGCCAGAACTTCCAACACTATGTTGAATAGGAGTGGTGAGAGAGGGCATCCCTGTCTTGTGCCCAATTTTCAAAGGGAATGCTTCCAGTTTTTGCCCATTCAGTATGATATTGGCTGTGGGTTTGTCATAGATAGCTCTAATTATTTTGAGATACGTCCCATCAATACCTAATGTATTGAGAGTTTTTAGCATGAAGTGTTGTTGAATTTTGTCAAAGGCTTTTTCTGCATCTATTGAGATAATCATATGGTTTTTGTCTTTGGTTCTGTTTATATGCTGGATTACATTTATTGATTTGTGTATATTGAACCAGCCTTGCATCCCAGGGATGAAGCCCACTTGATCATGGTGGATAAGCTTTTTGATGTGCTGCTGGATTCAGTTTGCCAGTATTTTATTGAGGATTTTTGCATCAATGTCATCAAGGATATTGGTCTAAAATTCTCTTTTTTGGTTGTGTCTCTGCCCGGCTTTGGTATCAGGATGATGCTGGCCTCATAAAATGAGCTAGGGAGGATTCCCTCTTTTTCTATTGATTGGAATAGTTTCAGAAGGAATGGTACCAGTTCCTCCTTGTACCTCTGGTAGAATTCGGCTGTGAATCCATCTGGTCCTGGACTCTTTTTGGTTGGTAAGCTATTGATTATTGCCACAATTTCAGATCCTGTTATTGGTCTATTCAGAGATTCAACTTCTTCCTGCTTTAGTCTTGGGAGAGTGTATGTGTCCAGGAATTTATCCATTTCTTCCAGATTTTCTAGTTTATTTGCATAGAGGTGTTTGTAGTATTCTCTGATGGTAGTTTGTATTTCTGTGGGATCGGTAGTGATATCCCCTTTATCATTTTTTATTGCGTCTATTTGATTCTTCTGTCTTTTTTTATTAGTCTTGCTAGCGGTCTATCAATTTTGTTGATCCTTTCAAAAAACCAGCTCCTGGATTCATTAATTTTTTGAAGGGTTTTTTATGTCTCTATTTCCTTCAGTTCTGCTCTGATTTTAGTTATTTCTTGCCTTCTGCTAGCTTTTGAATGTGTTGGCTCTTGCTTTTCTAGTTCTTTTAATTGTGATGTTAGGCTGTCAATTTTGGATCTTTCCTGCTTTCTCTTGTGGGCATTTAGTGCTATAAATTTCCCTCTACACACTGCTTTGAATGTGTCCCAGAGATTCTGGTATGTTGAGTCTTTGTTCTTGTTGGTTTCAAAGAACATCTTTATTTCTGCCTTCATGTCGTGATGTACCCAGTAGTCATTGAGGAGCAGGTTGTTCAGTTTTCATGTAGTTGAGCAGTTTTGAGTGAGTTTCTTAATCCTGAGTTCTAGTTTGATTGCACTGTGGTCTGAGAGATAGTTTGTTATAATTTCTGTTCTTTTACATTTGCTGAGGAGAGCTTTACTTCCAAGTATGTGGTCAATTTTGGAATAGGTGTGGTGTGGTGCTGAAAAAAATGTATATTCTGTTGATTTGGGGTGGAGAGTTCTGTAGGTGTCTATTAGGTCTGCTTGGTGCAGAGCTGAGTTCAATTCCTGGGTATCCTTGTTGACTTTCTGTCTCGTTGATCTGTCTAATGTTGACAGTGGGGTGTTAAAGCCTCCCATTATTAATGTGTGGGAGTCTAAGTCTCTTTGTAGGTCACTCAGGACTTGCTTTATGAATCTGGGTGCTCCTGTATTGGGTGCATATATATTTAGGATAGTTAGCTCTTCTTGCTGAATTGATCCCTTTACCATTATGTAATGGCCTTCTTTGTCTCTTTTGATCTTTGTTGGTTTAAAGTCTGTTTTATCAGAGACTAGGATTGCAACCCCTGCCTTTTTTTGTTTTCCATTTACTTGGTAGATCTTCCTCCATCCTTTTATTTTGAGCCTATGTGTGTCTCTGCATGTGAGATGGGTTTCCTGAATACAGCACACTGATGGGTCTTGACTCTTTATCCAATTTGCCAGTCTGTGTCTTTTAATTGGAGCATTCAGTCCATTTACATTGAAAGTTAATATTGTTATGTGTGAATTTGATCCTGTCATTATGATGTTAGCTGATTATTTTGCTCGATAGTTGATGCAGTTTCTTCCTAGTCTCAATGGTCTTTACATTTTGGCATGATTTTGCAGCAGCTGGTACTGGTTGTTCCTTTCCATGTTTAGTGCTTCCTTCAGGAGCTCTTTTAGGGCAGGCCTGGTGGTGACAAAATCTCTCAGCATTTGCTTGTCTGTAAAGGATTTTATTTCTCCTTCACTTATGAAGCTTAGTTTGGATGGATATGAAATTCTGGGTTAAAAATTCTTTTCTTTAAGAATGTTGAATATTGGCCCCCACTCTCTTCTGCATTGTAGAGTTTCCGCCGAGAGATCTGCTGTTAGTCTGATGGGCTTCCCTTTGAGGGTAAGGCGACCTTTCTCTCTGGCTGCCCTTAACATTTTTTCCTTCATTTCAACTTTGGTGAATCTGACAATTATGTGTCTTGGAGTTGCTCTTCTCGAGGAGTATCTTTGTGGCGTTCTCTGTATTTCCTGAATCTGAACGTTGGCCTGCCTTGCTAGATGGGGGGAAGTTTCTCCTGGATAATATCCTGCAGAGTGTGTTCCAACTTGGTTCCATTCTCCCCGTCACTTTCACGTACACCAATCATATGTAGATTTGGTCTTTTCACATAGTCCCATATTTCTTGGAGGCTTTGCTCATTTCTTTTTATTCTTTTTTCTCTAAACTTCCCTTCTCACTTCATTTCATTCATTTCATCTTCCATCGCTGATACCCTTTCTTCCAGTTAATCACATCGGCTCCTGAGGTTTCTGCATTCTTCACGTAGTTCTCAAGCCTTGGTTTTCAGCTCCATCAGCTCCTTTAAGCACTTCTCTGTATTGGTTATTCTAGTTATACATTCTTCTAAATTTTTTTCAAAGTTTTCAACTTCTTTGCTTTTCGTTTGAATGTCCTCCCGTAGCGCGGGGTAATTTGATCGTCTGAAGCCTTCTTCCCTCAGCTCGTCAAAGTCATTCTCCGTCTAGCTTTGTTCCGTTGCTGGTGAGGAACTGCGTTCCTTTGGAGGAGGAGAGGCACTCTGCTTTTTAGAGTTTCCAGTTTTTCTGCTCTGTTTTTTCCCCATCTTTGTGGTTTTATCTACTTTTGGTCTTTGATGATGGTGATGTACAGATGGGTTTTTGGTGTGGATGTCCTTTCTGTTTGTTAGTTTTCCTTCTAACAGACAGGACCCTCAGCTGCAGGTCTGTTGGAGTACCAGGCCATGTGAGGTGTCAGTCTGCCCCTGCTGGGGGTTGCTTCCCAGTTTGGCTGCTCGGGGGTCAGGGGTCAGGGACCCACTTGAGGAGGCAGTCTGCCTGTTCTCAGATCTCCAGCTGTGTGCTGGGAGAACCACTGCTCTCTTCAAAGCTGTCAGGGACATTTAAGTCTGCAGAGGTGACTGCTGTCTTTTTGTTTGTCTGTGCCCTGCCCCCAGAGGTGGAGCCTACAGAGGCAGGCAGGCCTCCTTGAGCTGTGGTGGGCTCCACCCAGTTCGAGCTTCCTGGCTGCTTTGTTTACCTAAGCAAGCCTGGGCAATGGCAGGCACCCCTCCCCCAGCCTCGCTGCTGCCTTGCAGTTTGATCTCAGACTGCTGTGCTAGCAATCTGCGAGACTCTGTGGGCGTAGGACCCTCCGAGCCAGGTTCGAGATATAATCTCCTGGTGCGCCATTTTTTAAGCCCGTCGGAAAAGCGCAGTATTGGGGTGGGAGTGACCCGATTTTCCAGATGCCGTCTGTCACCCCTTTCTTTGACTAGGAAAGGGAGCTCCCTGACCCCTTGCGCTTCCCAAGTGAGGCAATGCCTCGCCCTGCTTCGGCTCGCGCACGGTGCGGTGCGCGCACCCCCTGACCTGCGCCCACTGTCTGGCACTCCCTAGTGAGATGAACCCAGTACCTCAGATGGAAATGCAGAAATCACCCGTCTTCTGCGTTGCTCACGCTGGGAGCTGTAGACTTGGAGCTGTTCCTATTCGGCCATCTTGGCTCCTCTTGAGACACAATCTTGCTCTATCGCCCGGCTGGAGTGCAATGGCACAATCTGCTGACCTCAGCCTCCACCTCCTGGGTTCAAGTGATTCTCCTGCCTCAGCCTCTCGAATAGCTGGGATTATAAGCATGTGCCACCACATCCAGCTAATTTTTTGTATTTTTAGTAGAGACGGGGTTTCACCATGTTGATCAGGCTGGTTTCAAACTCCTGACTTTGTGATCCACCTGCCTCAGCCTCCTAAAGTGCTGAGATTACAGGCGTGAGCCACCACGCCTGGCCTATAGTATTCATTTTTAACTTGACAGAGTCCACTTTCCCAGTAATATTTTATTTTCAATTATATATTTTCATTACTCCTAGCCTTCATGCCATTTTTGTCATGAACTTTATTTCTAGAAATATACTGTTATTTTTTTATAATTCATTTACTTTATATATTTATTATTAGCACTATATTGTTACTATTTTGGTTTAAACTGCCATTTACATAATAAAGGCTTGTGTATTAACCTATGTCTTTTATTTCCCATGTTCTTCTTTGAAAAGATACTTATTTTTATGTTGTATAATTTTTTTTCGACTTAGGTAACTTTCTGTAAAAAATTACAGCAGTGCAGAAGGTCTACTGGTGAGTAATCATTTCAATTTTTATACAACTGGAAAAGTCTCTATTTAACCTTTGTTTCTGAAAGAAATTTCTGTGGGTATAGAATTTCTATGGGTTGATAGTTTCTTTTTCTTTCTTTTTAAAAGATATTTCTACCTTTCTTTCCATTTGCATTGCTTCTAGAAAGAAATTTGCTACCA
Source organism: Homo sapiens (assembly GCF_000001405.40). NCBI lineage: Eukaryota > Metazoa > Chordata > Mammalia > Primates > Hominidae > Homo > Homo sapiens. The sequence goes on along the minus strand of NC_000016.10, from coordinate 63,119,143 downwards.
TCTTTATTTTTGTATGTAATATGTCTTTTTTCTCCAGATGCATTTAAAATTTCTCATCATCACTGGTCTTGAGGAAATTTATTACATTATGCCTTAGAGTGCTTCTCTTCATGTTTCTTTACTAAGTTTCTTGTATCTATTGGTTTGTGTACTTTATCAACTGGGAAACATTTTTAGCCAATGTTTATTTTTATCGCTCTTCTCTCTTACTCCAGGGACTTCAATTACCCCTATATTGGGCCACTTAAAATACTTATCACTCATGTTCTGTACATTTATTTGAGTCTTATTTCTTCTGTTTGGGTAATTTGTTGTGCTGTGTCTTCAAGTTCGTTAATCTTTTCTTCTGATAGACCTAATATGCTCCAGTTCCCAACCATTGCATTTTTTAAAGAAATCTCATACAATGTTGTTCTCATATCTAGAGGTTCATTTTGGATCACTTTTATATTTTCCATGTTTTTACTCCTCATTTTTAATCTTTTCTTTAGCCTTTGAACATAGGATATGGTTACAATAACTGTACTATTGTTCTTTTTGGCTAATTTTAGCTTGTCTGTCATGTCTAGATTGGTTTTCATTGATTAATTTTTCTCCTCACGGGTTGCATCTTTCTACTTACTTTCATGCCTTTTTGTTTATTTTATTTTTTGAGACGGAGTCTCGCTGTGTTTTCCAGGCTGGAGTGCAGTGATGTAATCTCGGCTCACTGCAATCTCTGCCTCCCAGATTGAAGCAATTCACCTACCTCAGCCTCCCAAGTAGCTGGGACTACAGGCGCATGCCACCACACCTGGCTAATTTTTTGTTTTTAGTAGAGGCAGGATTTCACTGTGTTAGTCAGGATGGACTCAATTTACTGGCCTGGTGATCTGCCATGCCTTGTAATTTTTTGCTGATATGCGATACTGTAAATTTTACCTTCTTGTGTACTGGATACTTTGCAATTCTACAAATAATCTTGAGCTTTGTTTTCACACACAGTTAAGTTTTGTCCTTTCAGATGTTGCTTTAAGATTTGGCAGAAACACATTTAGAGATTTTTCCACACTATAAAAGCAAGAATCTTCTGAGTCCTCTACCTAATTCCCTGTGTCCCAATCTGGCTGGTGAAAACAGACTCTATTAACAAATCTGCTTGATCTTTATGTAACAACCTCTGTAATCCTTGAAGGTAGATATTCATCCAACCTTGGGATGTTTTCTTACACTCATACACTAATCAGTATTCTATAGAGTACTCAAAGGGAAACTTCCATAGGTCTCTGGAGTTTTCACTCAATGCAGAATTCTTTCAAATTATCTTCCTTGAAACCTCTAGATGCCTTAGTCTCTCCAACCTATCATTTCTATTTCCTTAACTCTTCACTCCACCATGACTCTTTCTGTCTACATAGCCTTCTCAAAATCATGAAATTTACCACAAAATTATAGTTTAATGTCAATGTAAAGATGTATATAGATAGTGTCTAAATTTTTTTTTGCCCATGTTTTTCAAAGGAAATTTATCTAGCTTATTTCTTCTTTAAATCATTTTATGATGAGAGTGTAAAACTATAGTCTCATTAGAAAAATAAACAGGCCAGATGCAGTGGCTCATGCCTGTAATCCCAGCATTTTGGGAAGCCAAGGCAAGAGGATCACTTTATGTCACGAGTTTAAGACTGGCCTGGGCAACATAGCAAGACTCTGTCTCTATAAAAAATAAAATAATAATTAGCTGGGTGTCATGACATGTGCTTGTAGCCGCAGCTACTCAGGAGGCTGAGGTGGAAGAATAGCTTGAAGCCAAGAGGTCAAAGCTGCAGTGAGCTATGATTGTGCCACTGCATTCCAGCTTGGGCAACAGAGTGAAACCCTGCCTCTATAAAATAAAAGTAAACAGATGCAGTATGTGAATATTTATAGAATTAACATGGGGAAATTAGATTCAAAAATTAATCAGGTTTAATTTTGAGCTAATTCATAAGTGAGGACAATTTGGAAAGGTACACCCTATGCAGTCATTAGGTCTGAAGGGGTATTTTGGAAACTGAGCAGGGAAACAACTCAGAGAGCTCTGCTTTGCCTATGAAAGTGATGGAGAAAGGACCTGCCCAAACCGAATTCAAACATATCCCATGTTAGAGCATTTCATAGTTCTAGGGGAACATTGCTAACTTGTACTGAGTGACAGTCTTCAGAGTCATATCCCCTTCTTGTCACATGGATCCAGTGCTTCAGGTTTCCATCTACCCAGAAAAATTCACCTAGAGCTTCTTTCTTCAATCACTTTGTGTTTCACACAGAACCCTATTGTCAATATTCTCACAGAAAACCCCAACCAAAACAGATCTAGACTTCAGATGAAATGAAGAAGTTAATCCAAATTGGGTTTAGGGTATTTTCAGATTCCTGACAAAATAAAAATGTTATTAGGACAACTAGAGCTCACTCATTAGGTGGTGTTCACTCTAGGGTATGTCTTACAAAAAGATATATTCTAATTAAAGTGATAATATGTTTCTAGTGTTAAACGAATACTGGTAAAAAGCCAATGAGAATTTCCATTAAAACTTTTAAAATAGAAAAACAAATTGAATATGTATTGATTTTCTACCACTCAATTCAAGAGAACTGTGACATTTTCATATCAGAAATAAATGTCAGTATTCATTATCAGATAAAACTAAAGATAGAATCCATCAACCAAACCTTGTGTAAATGACTCCAACAAATTATTCACACCTTCAATTGTATCAGAAACAGATTAAACACTGCTTTTTCTGATTAGTAGGATTCCATATTAAAGGGTAACAAGGATTGTGGAGTCAGAAATTACTTTAGTCATGAAAATCATTAGTTGCCAATTAAACATATTCCATCTGTACCTAGGTAGATAAACCTTGTAGTTTGTCAAAAAAAAAAAAAAAAAAATCAACCTATGAGAAGTAATTAGCTTTTCCATGACTTTTTTCCTTTTTTTTTCCTTTCTAAACTCTTTTATGATACTAAAGTTTCATGAGAATGATGTTCCAGCAAAATCTGTGCTACATATCTTCCATTTGCTCAGGGCCTTGCTTTGTGACTTGAAGTATAAACTTCATGGAAGGCATCAGTGTACTCCACTGCCCTTTGGGTTAGGTTACAGTAAGACCAATGGGATGCTCAAGTAAGATACTAGAGAGCAGGTGGAGAAGTGAGATCAGAGTATTTATTTACCTGGTTCCTCCCTGCAGTGTTAACAGTGGTTGGCTGTTTCATTTCATTAAGGTCATAGTTGTTGTTTTTTTTTTTTTTTTTCAGGAATCCTTTTCCATGTAGTTCTCTCCCCAATTTCTACTAACTACTCTTTCCATGACCTCTTTTACCCTCAAGTTACAGAAACATCTTCTCCCCTGTTACTAACCCTGGGAAACCTCACATTCCCTCATTGATTTCCCTCAAACCTGTGCACGCTTTGAAAATAATTCCTTCACTAAACTCTCATGATTTTCTAACTTGAGTTCATGATTATCTGTTTCTTGTTTATGTCTTAACTAATGTCTTTATACACTGGAAGCAGCAGAAAAGAACTTTAGATATTGTCCCTTAACCTACCCTGTGAATGAGGCACCTGAGACAAAATACATGTCATAACCTATGTCATAGGAAATCAATTTTTTCTAAATAATAGTATTAATATCACTAATTATTGTAGAGTGACAGAGATGTGACAGGCCATTATGTTGCAGATTTCCTTCTGTTTTAGAGTTAATAATATTCTATTATATGTATATAGCACATTTTCTTGATTCATTAATCTGTCAAAGGACCCTTGGATCATTTCCCCATCTTGGCTATTGTGAATAGAACCTCAATGATTAGCTAAGAAAACACAATGGAGAAATAATTGTCTCCTCAAAAAATGGAACTGAGAAAACTGGTTATCTACATGCAAAATAATAAAAATGAACTACCTTATACCATATACAAAAGCCAACTCAAAATGTGTTAAAATCTTAAACATAGTATCAGCAACTGTTAAACTACTAGAAGAAAACATAGGGAAAAGCTTAATGGCATTGATCACGGCTATGATCCTTGGGATATGACAACAAAAACACAGTCAACAAATGCAACAATAGATAAGCAGGACTACATCAAACTAAAAAGCTTCTGTACAGCAAAGAAAAAAATCAATGGACTGTAAATGCAGCCTAAACAATGGGAGAAAATATTTACAAACTATGTATGTGATAAATGATTAATTTCCAAAATACATAAGGAACTTCTACAATTCAATGGCAAAAAACAGATAACCCTATTAAAATATGGGCAAAAGGCTTGAACAGAAATTTTTCCAAATAAAGCATATAAATGACCACCAAGTATATAAAAAGATGCTGAACACAACTAATCATCAGAGAAATGTAAATCATAGCCAAAATGAGATATCACTTCACACCTGCTATGATTACTATTATCAAAAAACAAAAGATCAGTGTTGGTGAGGATGCGGGCTAGTTGGAACCCTTGTACGCTATTGGTGGAAATGTAGAATGGGAAACAGTATAGAGATTCCTCAAAAAATTAAAAAAATAGCACTACTGTGTGATTGATTCACCAATCTTACTTCTGGGTATATATATATATGAAAGAATTGAAATTAAGTTCTCAAAGATATATCTGTCCTCCCATATTCCTTGCAAATGTTTTGTAATTCTTTTCATTATATATCCAATTAAATTCCAATTATATACAGTCTAGTTCCTAAATCTTTTTTGAATCCAATTATTTAGAACGTAATGTATATTTTACTAGTTTAGAGCTTCAACATTATATTCCTGGATTATTTCAACAGCCTGATAAATAGTGTCTAGGTCTTAATTATTTTTCAGTTCAAGCCATTCGTCCATAACATCCAGGATATGTAAAATGATCGATTATATAATAATGTCTCTTCCTGAGTAAAATCTTTGGAAATGTTTTTCATTACTCTTAGTTTAAAGTCTAAATTTCCTAAGATTGTTATTACTTTCTGCTGTTAGGAAAATGGTGTTCCTCCCCAGCAAAATATGTTAAAGTCCTAACCTTTGGTACCAGTGAATGTGATCTTATTTGTAATTAGAGTATTTGAAGATATAATCAAGTTAAAATGAGGTCATAGTGCATTAGGGCAGGCCTTACATTCAATGACTGATGTTATAAGAAGCCAAAATTGTGGGCCGGGCACAGTGGCTCACATCCGTAATCCCAGCACTTTGGGAGGCTGAGGTGGGTGGATCACGAGGTCAAGAGAGAGAGACTATCTTGGCCAACATGCTGAAACCCTGTCTCTACTAAAAATACAAAAATTAGCTGGGCGTGGTGGCACGCACCTGTAGTCCCAGCTACCTGGGAGGCTGAGGCAGGAGAATCATTTGAACATGGGAGGTAGAGGTTGCAGTGAGCCAAGATCATGCCACTGCACTCCAGCCTGGTGACAGAGTGAGACTCCTCCGTCTCAAAAAATAAAAAAAATTTTTTAAAAATGTGGGAAACAATGACACAGGCACATACAGAGGGAAAACAGCTATGTGAGGATGAAGGCAAAATTCATAGTGTCTGATGCAGCTACAAGCCAGAGAATGCCAACAATCCCCAGGGAATACTTGAAGCTTGGAAGAGGCAGGGAAAGGTTCTTCTTTGGAGCTTACAAGGGAGCACAATCTTCATGACACCTTCATTTTAAATTTCTAGCCACAAGGACTCTGAGTGAAGAAAATTACTGTTGTTTTGAGTCATCTAATTTGTGGCTTAAATTTGTTACCACTCTATATTCATTTCTATAGCTGTAATTGTCATCATTGTTTCACATGCTTTATCTTGTCATGCCTTATACATCCACACACATCCTACAATTCAGATTTAATAACCTTTTTTATTGGTATAGTCTTCTCATGTTTACATTCTATTTTATCCACCTATATTCCATATGTATTCATTTGTGTGGCTGTCAGAGCAAATGATCACAAATTTGGTGGCTGAAACAACTGAAGTTTGCTCTCTCATAGTTCTGCAGGCCAGAAGTTCATTAGTTTCAGTGGACTGAAATCAAGGTGTTGTTAGGACCGTATATAACCAGAGGCTCTAGGGGATAACTTCTCTGCCTGTTCCACATTGTGGTGGCTGCTAGAATTCCTTTGCTTGTGGCTGTAGCACGCCAATCTCTGCTTCCATTTTGCAGTAATGGGATAGGTAAGCGTGTCAGTAGGTCAGCTCTGTTTGCAGGATGAAGAGCATATTAAGAGGCATTCTTATGTTGACATTGCTCAGTCCCAGTACTCAGACTCTGCAATGATGACTATGATTCCAATTTTTAAAAAAAGTATTTGACTGATGAGAACTTTTAAGCCTTGTCCTTCCCTCTTTTTCTTGTGTCCTATATCTAGACAAGCTGGTAAGAAAACCTGGGTGATCCGTGGGTACCAGCAGGAGATTCAAACCAGGAAAGTCTCTGTCCACACCAGAGAATCCTCACCCTAGCCTCATCTCCTAACCACAAGGAAAACTCATGCCATTCTTTTTTCCTAGCTCTCTCAAGCCATTTATTTCTCTCCCTTTTTGAATCATTTCTTTTTTTCTTTGATTTCCTTCTTTCTTTCTTTCTTTTGAGTCAGGGTCCTAATTCATCATCCAGGCTGGAGTGCAGTGGCATTATCATGGTTCACTGCAACCTCTGACTCCTGGCCTCGAGTGATACTCTTGCCTCAGTCTCCTAAATACCTAGGACTATAGGCATGTACCACCATACCCAGGTATTTTTCGGTTTGCTTGATTGTTTATTTAGAGATGCAGTCCCACTATTTTGCCCAGGCTCATCTCAAACTCCTGGTCTCAAACCTCCCATCACAGCCTGCTGAGCTGCTAGGATTATAGGTATGAACCACTGCACTGGGCTCTCAAGCCATTTCTAACTAACTGTCTTGAGGGGCCTGCCTTACTCTTTCCAGAGACCTCAATTATGTATCTGAAATTGCATAATTTCAATATAATAAGGAGAATTTCATACCTTCTTGGTGTATTTTTTATATATTCTTGATGTCTTTTCATACCTTCTTGGTATGTTTGTGCCATCATTAGTGTCTCCAAACCAAGTTTTGCTAGGGGAATCCATCGTTCTCTGCAGGTGATCATAACAGTCTATTTAGGGATAGGATTTCTTGCTGTGAATGGATAACCAGGCCATGTAAGCCAGTCAGAAACCCCTTTTTGAAAAGTCAACTATTTTGAGTTAGCTCTCCAAAGACCTAGCACTGCCTACGCAAGAACCAGATTGCATTTCTTATAATTCTTTTTCTTGGGCAACAAATCAATTTAAGCTTCACCATCATACTTATTTTCCAGAGTCATAGCTGTTGCTTCATGCCTGAGAAAGGAGACTTATACCCTTTGATGGGTCAATATTACAATACATGCAATGGAAGATTCCTTTCTTGTCACATTTGTGTGGTTGATGGTATCACAGGGATATTTTGCCATGTCCTATTAACCAAAAGAAAGTAAATCCATTGCAAATATAGGCTTTTTGTGGCTACTTCAATTCTAGTTGTCTCAACGTCTGCCAAGATATTCGCTTTTTAGGTCAGTGTAGTGTCCCACAAAGGCTTTTATAGATGTGTCTGAAGGCAAACGACATCTCATGAAACATGGTTCCATGGTCTCGTTAATGTATGTGACTTTCCAAGCTTAAATTGTGCCATGTTTATTTTCCTCTTCACTTGTCCACAATTTCTCCCATTTAATTTAGATTGTTCAATTACCATTAATTCCAGGCAATCTATTGTTTAATTGGATGAATTTCAATTGCAAATTAAGACTGCTGGTTTCAACCAAGAAAGCCAATTTAAACCTGACAACAGGTTTGTTTAAAAAAAATAGGAAATGGTATGAGAGGATGGAGAATAACACAGACTTTTGTTTGTGTATTAAGGTGTCACTTGTTTGTTTAATTAGAACAAAATCGTAGTTTTCTACTAACAAACTTTCTCAATTGCAGAAATAAGTAGCACCATGACTTTTCATGTGGGGAATATTATCATAAAAAGCTTACCTATCCATTTAACAATTCCAGAACAGCATCTTCTTACTTAACCAGAATCTTGTTATTTAACGAGCTCCATCTTATAATCATTCTAAGTAACAAATAAAAGGTTAAGAAGAGGTTATATGATTAAAATATGTGGCACTGTATAAAATGTAAGAGAAAAGTGAAGAAGATACTTTCTCAGTAGTACTAAAGGAGGCTCTATGAAATATTGGGTCAAGCAATAGCTCTAAAAGAATATAAAGGGCAACTCAAAGGGTGACATGAGACTATTATGAGATTCTGGGCATATTTATGGTTAGGAGAAGAGACAGAAAACTCTTCAGAATAATATACAATAATACCTGTTATCCTTCTTTGCATGATGGGTAAATGTATTTAACAGCCAGCATGTTAAACTGCTTACCCTGGAAGCTTCCTACTAAACAGACAACAATAGAAAAAGTATATAAATGAAGAAATAATTTCTTACATTACAAAATGGTGCTTAGTAAAACTTACTGAGACATTTTAACATTTTGCTAGATGCTCTACCAGTGTCCAGAAAATGTGCTTATGCAGAGTAGAATGTAGGAGAAAATATTAATGAAAACTCAGAATTTTTAAAGTGTCACATTGTGGCAAGTATAAAGAATACACAGAAAAAGAATTTCAAGTTTGAGCATTTTCAAATGAAGGAATATAATAGATTGTGATGAAAGCTTTGCAGAGATAAATCTCTGGATTCAAAGTGAGTAATATAAGTTTTTCTGGTTCTCACACACTCATCCTCATTGCCCATATCTAGACTTCTGGGGAGTTTATTAATGTTGTTGGCAATCAAGATGAAGGGTTTCACCTACAGGGATGATGACAAAATGAGGCATCATATAATCATTCTGTTCCAAGTATACATTGTAAACATTATTATATTCCAAGTATACATTGTGATTGTAGGCTGAAACAAGGGGCAGTGGGTTTTTTTAAATGTATATTATAGCTAAATAGGAACAGTAGGTATCAAAATACAGATTATTAAGGAAAAATAATGTTGCAAATGCATTGCCCAATCTGAGTATGAGAGTCTTGATTATTTAGAATGGGTGAGCCTGCCCTGCCAGCTATATATTTATAACAGTTCCTAGAGAGGATCTTAGAAGGATAAAAATTGATTGGTTGAGACTGACAGCAATATGTTATAAAAATGAAATTTATAAAGATTTTATTCTATAATAAACTAAAGAACTGTTTAGACAAATATAAAAATAGTGTTCATTGTGGTTCTGATATAAACTTCCAATTCTTTAACACAAAATGATTGGTGAAAATTGCCATATATAATTAAGTGAAAACACTTTTTCTTGTGTAATGAAAATTTTATTAGCATTCAATCTATCACTAATACCCTTTGTAAAGTATGGCTTTCTGAATTGGAAAGGTCCTTGTTAGTTTCAGGGTTATTTTTACCATATGCAGGAAACATTTATGATTGGCTTAGGAGCCTGCTAAAGACTCATGTCAAATGCAACCATTGTATTAGAAATATTAGAAGTGTTAATCTTATATCTGAGAGGTTTACCTTTTTTAAAATACTGAGCAATATGCTACCTTCTAGGAAAAAAAATGTTTTTCTAATTTTAAGGTGCTAGCTCTGTGCTTTCTAACCAGGGCCATCTCTGATCTGCAATATCATCATTCTCCCACTTGGAGTGGGGGAAGATTTCTCTTGTGTTCTTATAAAGGAGTAGCCACCTAAAGTCCCAGTGGAAAAAGGATCCCTCATTATGCATAAACTTGAAACGATGGGTACTTTCTGCACAACACTGTTAAAGATCCATCTGGACAGGACTTTTTTTTTTAAATATAGCTGTTTCACATACACTCTCATGTAGACTGCATTTATAATGCTGAGGACTTCTGAAAGAATTCTTAAAATGACAATCCTAATGTGTTGAAGCAGTATACAAATGCAGTGTGACAGTAAAAGACATTGGTTTTCTCTTCTATGCAGCCACACTAAGATAGAATCTTCAAGACAGCACATTCCACATTAAAGCTGGCTTTGGATTGATAACCATGTGTGAACCAAAAAGTCACACCTTGAATTTAATTTCACAGAGCACTTGTTCTGCTACTTGTTAGCTCTGCAACTGTGAAAAATGATTTCACCTCTCTGAACGTCATTTATAAAATACAAATAGCAGCCCCTAACTTTAAACATTCTCATAAGTAGATCAAGCTTTTTAGTACTTTGCACAGTAACTGGCATACTAAACTGAGTGAACTGATAAGTAAAATTAGGTTAGTAAAATTAGACAATTATTGCTATAATTTTTTGGAAAAGTATCCTTGTAAAAAGAGAAATATTCTTATTTTAATTGTGTGAAACTCTATTTTTTTTTTTGGAGGGGGCGTTCAATTTTTTTTTCCTTCTTTCTCTTGTTTTTTTCTTTTTATTTTTCCTTGAAACTCTATTTTGTCATAAAAGATTTGCTAACAACATTGATAAAGAAACCACCAAGGATAGTGTGTGCCTATGATCTCAAACAAACAGTTCCAGCCTATCAATTGAAAACAAAACAAAACAACTCTACATTTATTTTTTTAAAGTTCTTTACTCCTGAGACACTGAGAGACTTAGCTAAAAGCAATTTTGTCCATTGGATTTGAACAGGATCTTCAAGGGGTCGAGAAGTGGACAGAGCTCCCAGAGGCTGAGTTGATAATGAATCTCCAAGCCTTTCACTGGGAAAACTGGGCTAACACCTGGTACTTCCTCGGACTAAGTCTCTGGCCCTCTGGATGCATGAAAGCTTTGCTACTTGGGGAATAATTAAATGGTTACAAGGGAAAAAACAGAACCAAACGCTTACAGTTTTGCAAAGATAACCAGCAAGGTGAGAAACTGCCAGCAGATTTCCCTAAATAGTGAGGCTGTGGACCTTCTCGTCTTTCACAGAGATGGCACTAATAAAAAGCAGACCACACTGAGACATTGAATCCGATGTCATTCCTATTCTCTTCCCCGATTTAAGGAAATCAAGATGGAGGCAAGGATGCAGGAACTGCTGCATAAAATGAGAACTACTACACTGGAGAAAAATAATTAAATTTGTTATTTTCAAGATATAGAATTTGTTAAATTTGTTATTTTCAAGATAGAGGACATAATTAAATGTTTTATTTTCAAGATATAGAAAAAGAGGAACTAAAATGAGATTTGAGCAAAATACTGAAAGAGGAAGAACACTTTCAAGTCTTGGGATATGGCCCTCTTTATTTACTTTAAAGAGTAACACACAGGACAGAACATCCACACACATCTGTCTGCAGCTACAAATTCCAAATGTCTTGTCTGTTCCAGAGAGCACAACATTAAAGGCAATTTTAGTTTTGCCTTTTCTCAATATATAGATCTCCATCAAAATAATGGTATTAAATGGTATTGTGGTGCAGGCATGCAGTGAATGGTGCAAAACAAGGAGATGGCAGAGACAGCAAGGTAATTGTCATTGACTCTGTTCTAGGAGCCTCTGTCAGACAGGTTTCTGAAGGGTGATGCTTGTACTATTTCTTCGCAAGGGGAGCATTACTTTGCATAGCGGCTGCAAATTCCTCCCAGTATCTGTTCAAATGTGATCAGAGAGCTATCCCTGATCACCCTGTTTAAAATGTCCTCCCAGATGATGATAACTGTTTTTAATAATTTTTTCCCAGTTGCCATCAAAAGTGTATTCTATGTCACTGGTTATTTTCTTACTTATTTAGGGGGCTCTTCATTCTCTGATGCAACCATGAAGGTCAAAGAGGTGCTCTCTGCAAAGATGACTGTGCCTGTGTTCTTCAACTCTTAGGGTAAAGAGTACAACTATCTGGCGTCTGCTGGGTAATAGTTGTTTTTAGTCAAGTTATTTGGTGATGGGGAGGTCATGCTTCATGCCTGAAGATATCAAGTCCTTCTTGAAAGAAAATGGATAGACCTGGGTTATAATCCCAGAAGTACTACTTGCCTACTGGTTTGGAGGAGTTATTTGAAGTAATAGATTTTTACATTGATGGCCCCCAGTATACTGCATGTTCATCTGAAGTCCCCTTAAAACCCGGGCAATTTAACCATAAGCTATCTTGACTTTGGCTTACTTTAACTATGGCCTGTTTCAACTAATAGAATACGGTGGAACTTTTGAACTAAATTTTAAGATAGCTTGGTAGTGTCTACTTCTGCATTCTGGAGAAAGACACCTCCCAAGTAAGAAGTTTGCCTAGCGTGAGACTGCCATCCCATGAGGAAGCCCAAGTAGCCATGTGGTGAGGCACCCATGAAAGAGAACTAAGGATGTGGTGATCAATTCCAGCTGCCAGCCATATGATTGAGACCCTTTTGTACCTTCTGTTTACCCAGTACCCCTTCTGCCACAACATGAAGCAGAAAAAGTGCTGGATTGTACAAAGAAATAAATTGTGTTGTTTGAAGTTTACACACAAACACACAAATGCCCTCAACCTATATACTCTTGTCATTATCTCTAATTCTTCCTTCTTTCCATTGCTTCACTGATTTTATATATATATATATATATACACACACACACATATATTTACATATCTCATATGTAAACTATATTACATATATGTCATATATACATGTATCATATACATATATATGATGTGTGTATATATATCTATATACACACACAACTACTGAGGCATATAACTGAAAACTGTCTGTTTAGATAGGAATGGACTGAGCTTTTTTAAGTATAGAAAATATTTGAGGAGAAGCATAGAAAAAGACAAACCAACAGTACACATGACTAATGACAAATGAAACTGCTTGTTCTGAACATAGAGTGTTTGGACGAGGAATCGGGGAAGGAAGATGAAAACAGGTCACATCCATTTTTCAGAAACCTGATTGTAAGCTAGTTTTGTTCTCTTCAACACTGAAAATTTTGAGGTAGTTGGCCTATGAAAATTGTTAACTCTGTTTACTATAAGTAATACAAATTCAAGAAGATTCCTGTAACATCATCTGATACAAAACCTGTGGCAATTAAGCCTATCTTACTCTGTCATGTGGCAAAATTAAAGTATGATTCTGATCATAAGTGGACGAGGACAATATGTAGAAAGAAGAATCCTACTACACTGCTGGTGGAAATGTAAATTAGTACAGCTACTATGGAGAACAATATGAAGGTTCCTCAAAAAACTAAAAATTAAATTCCACTGCTCTGTATATATCCAAAAGCACATAAATCAGCATATCAGAGAGGTGTCTTCACTCCCATGTTTACAGCAGCACTATTTACAATAGCCAATATGTGGAATTAACCCCAGTGTACATCAACAGATGAATGAATAAGAAAATGTGGTACCTACATACAATGGAATGTTATTTAGCCATACGAAGAATAGAATCATATCATTTGCAAAAACATGAATGGAACTGGAGGTCATTAGTTTAAGTGAAATACCAGGCACACAAAGACAAATATTGCGTGTTCTCACTTATATGTGAGAGCTAAAAAAAAACTGATCTCATAGAGGTAAGGAGTAGAATGATGGTTACCAGAATCTGAGAAAGGTAAGTAAGAGTGGGTGATTAAGAGTGGTTAGTTAATGGTTATAAAAATACAGTTATATAGAAAAAATAAGATACAGTGTTTGGTAGCATAATAAGGTGACTATACTCATCAATAATTTATCGTATATTTCAAAATAACTTGAAGAGTGAATTTGAAATATTCCTAACACAAATATATGATAAATGCCTGAGGTAGTGGATATCCCAGTTACCTTCATTTCATCATCACACATTGTATGCTTGTATCAAAATTTCATATGTACCCCATAAATATGTACGATTATTAGGTATCCATAAAAAGTAAAATTAAAAAAAGAAAAGGCACATGTAAAAAACAAATGATCAATTAAACCAGAATTTGCACTCTTTGAGGGCAAGAGAAATATTTATTCATGCTCCTATCCTCAGCATCTATCGCATTACATGATACATCTTAGATTCTAAAAATATTAGAGAGTTGGAATAATTAGAAAAAGTGCATAAGAAAGAAATGGATCCACAAGATATTGAGCATAATTAAAAGGAATAAAGGGACAAAATCCAAAGGAAAATCTTTGCAGTTGGTGACATTTATAAGGACTACAAGCTATGAGTTATTTTTGAGCTACTTCAGAAATAACCAAGGAGAAGCAAACTAAACTATTGCAAATTGTACTGTTTCTGGGGAGAACATTATTTTGCACAGCTGCAATAAATTCCATCCGGTTTAAAAGGGAATACTCTGATGTCAATTGCTAAGGATCAAATCTCACTGACACACTATCTGTTACCTCAGCAATTAGCCTAAACTCTTCAACAGGCAAAGTTCTCATTTGTAAGCAGTTACAGCAAGGGTTGTAAGGATTGCATGAGACAATGAACGCAACAGACTTTGCTCAGGACTGTGACTTAACAATAGTTTACACAGATGATGCTACTATTTTTATAGATATTATTATTCAAAAGTAATAGCTGAGAGGAAAAAGAAATTCCAAACAGTGAGAGCCAAAGCAGAAAAACAGAAAATAATAGTAATCCAACCCTTTCTGCCAAAGCTAGACACCAGAGAAACACTCAATCTAGCTAGCTCCAGATGCTAAGAAAGTGGTTTGCCTAAGACCTTCAAAGATATAATGGCATAATGAAGGAAGCATGGGTTTTGGAATCAGAAATGTCTGGCTTGGGCCTGGGCGCGATGGCTCATGCCTGTAATCCCAACAGTTTGAGGAGGCCAAGGTGGGAGGATCGTTTGAGCCCAGGAGTATGAGACCAGCCTGGGCAACATAGCAAGACCCATCTCTATGAAAAATTAAAACAATCATTAGCCAGGCACAGTTGTGCATGCCTGTAATTCCAGCTACTCTGGAGGCTGAGGTGGGAGAATTGCTTGAGCCCAAGAGTTTGAGGCTGCAGTGAGCCATGATCATGCCTCTACACTCCAGCCCAGGTGACAGACAAGAGATCTTGTCTCTATCGGAATAAAAATAAATATAAATATAAAGAAATATCTGGCCTGGAATCTTCTTAGGGATCAAGGCAAGCTACTTCATTCCCTCATCTTAAAAATTCAGGAGTATTATCAGAAGTCACTGAAAAACAATAAATAAAGCACATCTTGCACATTTTAGATGCTCTTTCAACCACAGATGTTTTTAATGTAAAACTTAATAGTTTACAACATGACATAGAGAAATAGGATTTGGTTTGAGACATTGCAGAGCAGCCCCAATGCCCTGAGGATTCAGTATAGCAGTATATTCAGCTGAATAGCAGTCCAGTTGAATTTGATTAACTATATGTCCAAATTTGAATATATTTACTGCCTCTCATAAAGTGAATATATGTGAATCCATATATTCACATGCAAAAGTAGAAAGATTTGCAACAGCCAGTTCTACAAGTTTGAATCCTCTAAAGAAGGATAATTCTGTGATGATTTTTAAACTGATTCAGAAGGGAGCATTTTTAACCCAAGCTTGTATTATTTTTATTCACATATTTCTTTAAATTCTCGTAATGTGTGTAAAGTAGTACCACTTTTAATTCATCCTATTCCTAACACACAAAATACCATCAAAAATCTAATGCAAAGGGTTCCTTATGCAAACGCGTTAAAATTCTACCTGGCAGTGATGCTTTTACATATATTCTTGCAACCTATTTTAGGTCAGGTTATCCAGAAGCAGAGCCTAAGATAGGGATTCTCATATACGTGATTTATTTAAGGAACGCTCTCAGGAGTTACTCATAGACGGTAGAGAACACAGAACAGGACAGGGAAGAAGCTAAGCAAAGATATAAGTTCAGCTGAAGTCTCACCTCTAAGAAAAAGTCAATAATCTAATGGGAAACTAATGAATAGTACCATGTCATTGTCTAACCATGAGTTCTCCATATCAGTTAGCAATTGAATACAGCCTGCTCCTGGGAGTGGGACATGACTTCCAGGGCTAGGAGGCTTTGATCATTCAAGGCAGCTCTCCAGAGAAGAGTACGGCCATTAGCTAATGCAGCTGTTATGCACAGAAATGAGGGACAGGTGCACTTGGACAGTAAAGGACATCTAGGCAGGTCTCCTGAGTTATCTACCATAATTCATTCCTTACATTTCTTAGATCTACTTGCTTATCATATTCAGTTCCTTGCTTTCCACCACAGCTTCTCCAAGCTTATGGACAGTTAGTTACAATTTCTGGGTAAATTGAGTCTCTGCTGCTACAGTTGGTCCTGCTATAATATATCTGCAGTTCCACCTCTTCCTGGTTATCAAGACCATTTACACCCACCAATTTGGTAACTACTTTCCTTGCATTCAGGTTTGCTGGCTGGGTAGTTCAATGTGATCGGGTGATTATCACAACTTGAAGTTTGGTGGAACTCTGTGTCATCTCTGGAAACCAGGACTTCTAGACCCACAGAACCTAAAGTTGTCAGGACAAGAAGAGCAAGTTAAGAAACTGGGTCACTGGAAGTGATAGTGAGCAGGGTCTTTTCTTCTTCCCCTTCTTGGTTCACAGGCCTATATATTCAAACCAGTGGGCATATACTGTACCATACTGTGGCCATTGATATAAGATATATATTGTACTGTGAAGGATAGCATCTATTCTCACAGGATAACTTCTCTAATATTGTATCTCAGCTGTGTCTTCTAGAGGTCATTCTGCTAATTTATAAAGTCCAATACTTCTGGGTTGTGTTTATGTTTGGAAAAGACACTGTGAGTACTCCTTGGCAGACCTTAATAGGTAAGTTACATGGAATACATCTGTATGAGTCTTGTCAGGTTGCCATAACAAATATTCTACACTGGAAGACTTAACAGAAATTTATTTTCTGACAGTTTGGAGACTGGAAGTCTAAGATCAAGGTGCTGTCAGGGCTGTTTTCTGGTGAGGCCTTTTCTCCCAGAATATAAATGACCACCCTCATTTTATGTCCGCATGTGACCTTATTTCTTTGTTTGTGCAGTGATAGAGAGAGAGACAGAGAGAGAAAGAGAGAAAGAGACCTTTTGTCTTTTCCTCTTATTGTAAGGGCACCAGTAGTATTGGATTAGGACCCCATACTTATCAAATCATTTAACCTTAAATACCTCCCTAAAGGCCGTATTTCCAGATACAGTCACACTGGGGGTGAGCATCTCAATATGTTAATTTTAGGGAAGACAATTCAGTCCATAACAAAACCTAAGATTTAGAGTAAGACCATGCCATTTGCAGCAGAAAACTATATACCATTCAAAAACATTGCCAGGTATAAAGTAAGAGCCTGGCCAGGAGACATCAAGAGCGCATGCAGCCAGAGCTTCCCATCCTGAGTTGAGTGCAACAGAACCACTAGATAATAATGTGGACCCAGAAGCAGTCTGTGAGATGGAAGGGATAAATCTGCAACTGGCCTCGAATGGCTCCAGTGGCAATAAGTGAGATGTACAAAAAGATAGCCTAGATCCTCATGTCACTCAACACCATTACCCTTTTCTAAGTTCACACTGATGGCCTTTTACGATATTATCTAGTACCAGGTGAAGGGATAGGAAAAACTGTGAGCTTAATTCACAAATAGCTATACACGTATAAATGTTTATGTACATATAAAACACATACACATATACATACCACATATACATATATACATAGTACATATATTCATACTATATATGTGTGTATATATTTATACTTACTATATATATTCAAATATATATATTCAAAATATATATAAATATTCAAAATATATATATATTCCCATTCAACAGCTTTGCCAGCTTTTAAGAGGCAATATTGGTTAAAACAGAAGAGGATGAAGTGTGTTAGATCACCTCTCAAAGCCTCAATTTCCTCACCTTTTTAATGGAAATATTAATCCTTATATTTTACAAGGCTACTCTGAGTATTAATTTAAGTAATATTCATCAGAAAGCATAATAAACCAAGTGTTACATTAAAAACCAAACTGTCAAATTCATATACACTGAGCTAAATCTGTTTGCTCAAAAATTTATCTCCAGTTTCTTCAATATTAGAAGCACTCAATAAATAGCTGTTGAATTATATTAAAATTAATAAATATTAGCAATTATTTCTATGGTATTGAGATATTAATATAAGAAGTTAATAGATTATTTGTTTTTCTTCTACATGATAAACTTTGGTAGTATTAATCTCCTATATCTATTTAAATAAATATGTTTGAAAAACTTTTGTAAATATATCATTACTTTTGTAACTCAATGAGGTTATATTTTTAGCTGTAATTGCATAACCTTTTCTCACTTAAGAGAATTCCAGACATTTACCAAAGTAACTTTCTAAAACAATATCTGAAAGTAGACAAATGAACTCTCACTTTAATTTTGCTTTTGAGAAAAATTTATGAACTAATTATTTGCATTACATGATTTTAGTTAGAACTCTGAAGCAGACATTGCTATTCCTATTTAAATAAACTAATAAAACAGCAAGCAAAGTAAAGTTGTAGCAGATTGTTTGAAAAAAAATGGGTCCAACTATTTTCTTCCCTGTAACCACTTGTTTTTGCTGTATAACCTGGCAATTTGTTTCCCCAAAAGAAATGTTCGTTTCCCCGCCTCTAAAAGTTGGGCTCAACTTAAGACTTCTTTTGTCAACAGAATCAATGGAAGTGACACTGTGAAAAGTTCTGAGTCTCAAATGCCCTTGCCTGCTTCTATTCTCTCTCTGGAGTCCTTGCCTCTGACATTTAAACAAGTCTGGCTTCCCTGCTAGATGATGAGAGCTCAGCTGTCCTAGGCTGAGTACCCACAGATCTGAGTCCAGCCAAGGTCAACAAAGCCACTTATTTGACCCACAGCTAATGCTCAGTACCCTGCTGACACCAGAAGGGCTGTGCATCAGAGTCCAGCATGAATTATCAACCCACTGACTTGTTAGGTTAAATATATAGTCATTGTTTTAACCCAGAAAGGGTGGGTGTTTTATTTTACAGCTAACAGCTAACTGAGGCAGAGATATATGGAGATGTTGATAATCTACCAAAGTGAAACAATGGGTTGGTTTGCGATCAGGAATTCAAGTATGTTTAAGTTTCTGCCCCACTGCCTGAGATATATTGAGAACTTAGAGCCATATCTAGAGTTAAATATTATATAAAACTTCTCCAAATGGTTACATGACTTGTTTCCTCACTTCTTTTAGATTTCTGGTCAATTGTCAATTTTAAAATGAGCCTTTCAAGGCCACCTTATCTAAGACAATATAAAAACAATTATTCTTGCCCTGTTTCATTCATTCTATAGCACTTACCATCACTTGAGTTTATGTATTTGTTTGTTTTTCTGCCTCTCTTAAATCACTACTAAAAGTTAAGCTTTCTCAGGGCAGGATTTTTTTTTTTATTATACGTTAAGTTTTAGGGTACATGTGCACAATGTGCAGGTTAGTTACATATGTATACATGTGCCATGCTGGTGTGCTGCACCCATTAACTCGTCATTTAGCATTAGGTATATCTCCTAAAGCTATCCCTCCCCCCTCCCCCCAGATTTTGTCACCACCAGGCCTGCCCTAAAAGAGCTCCTGAAGGAAGCACTAAACATGGAAAGGAACAACCGGTACCAGCCGCTGCAAAATCATGCCAAATTGTAAAGACCATCGAGGCTAAGAAGAAACTGCATCAACTAACAAGCAAAATAACCAGCTAACATCATAATGACGGGATCAAATTCACACATAACAATATTAACTTTAAATGTAAATGGACTAAATGCTCCAATTAAAAGACACAGACTGGCAAATTGGATAAAGAGTCAAGACCCATCAGTGTGCTGTATTCAGGAAACCCATCTCACGTGCAGAGACACACATAGGCTCAAAATAAAAGGATGGAGGAAGATCTACCAAGCAAATGGAAAACAAAAAAGGCAGGGGTTGCAATCCTAGTCTCTGATAAAACAAACTTTAAACCAACAAAGATCAAAAGAGACAAAGAAGGCCATTACATAATGGTAAAGGGATCAATTCAACAAGAAGAGCTAACTATCCTAAATATATATGCACCCAATACAGGAGCACCCAGATTCACAAAGCAAGTCCTGAGTGACCTACAAAGAGACTTAGACTCCCACACAATAATAATGGGAGACCTTTTTTTTTTTTTTTTTTGTGAGGGAGTCTCGCTCTGTAGCCCAGACTGGAGTGCAGTGGCGTGATCTCAGCTCACTGCAAGCTCCGCCTCCCTGGGTTCATGCCATTTCCCTGCCTCAGCCTCCCGAGTAGCTGGGACTACAGGTGCCCACCACCACGCCCGGTTAATTTTTGTATTTTCAGTAGAGATGGGGTTTCACTGTGTTAGCGAAGATGGTCTGGATCTCCTGACCTCGTGATCTGCCCGCCTCGGCCTCCCACAGTGCTAGAATTACAGGCATGAGCCACCACACCCAGCCGAGGGCAGGAATTTTATGCATTTTGCTCATGGCTTGATTCCTAGGGCTTAGTGTATTCTCAATGAATATTGATTGAATTAATGTATAAATCAATATTCTACAACCAAATTCCCTAATATTCTTAGGGAATTTACCCATAAATTACCCATAGTATCTCTCATATGCCCACTAACGTCCACAGAAGAGACTAAAAATGTGTTCCAATGAACTATCTGATAGGTTGCTAAATATTTTATGGATTATTTTGAAGTTTAGTTTTCTGAGATTGCAAATTTAAAAATTTTTAGGCTTTAATCTTTGAATCACAAATTATTCTAACATAATGTACCTTATCTAGGAAAGGAAGAAAATGTTGTTTGTTTTTACTTTCTTTTTATATAAAAGCTGCATATATAAACCTAAATTTCTTGTTGGTTCCTTAATAAAATTGTGTCTCTCTGGGGTGATAACAGATAGGTCTCAAAATACATAGCAAATTATAGGCCATCAGCGAAAGCCTCTCTTTAAAGCTTTACTTGAACAAATAATGGGTAAAAGGATACGTTCTCCAGATGAATATGATAGATCACAGTGCTTTGGTTAACTGACTTTATAACTTTGGAGAGACAGATCTGGTTGGCTAGAAACACTAATAGATAGGAACATAATTATCACATAAAACCTATAAAACTCAAAATGAGTTGATCTTAATATTGCTGTCCCTCCATGGCCAGTAAGCAAACCTCCATTTTACCAGAGGAATACAGAATAAAGCCATCTGGATTATTGGAGAAAAGAGCATTCAAATGACTTAGATTAACCCAAGCCTTATTTTCTGAGGGAATAGCTCCAACCATCCAGCTAAAAAGGATGTCAATTTAGAACTCAGTTTGATGTAAAGGGATAGAAAAGATTAAGATAATTAATTGGCATCTGACCATGTTTAAAGAGTGGGAAGGTTTAGGATGGAAAACAATCTCAGTAAATTGCATTATAATTATAAGAAGAAAACAGGGTCTATCTCATCGCCTGCAGGGAGCCAGAAATAGAGTCAGTGTAACTTTATGAAGTGCTCAGAGTCTGCAAAACATGATTGCTGTTGCCATCAGTTGAGAAAAAAGTGATATATCAAGGAAGACTATAAATCTAATTTGTTAGACTAGATACCCATAATAAATGTAAAGCTATATATTTGTCTCCTTAAAAAAAAGTCTCTCTGATAGACTGTTTGCAAAAAATAGCCAGACTTTCAATTTCTGTACCCAAGCCCTTTTACAACTTGAGTTTGCACGTTCTCCCATCAAGAATGCCTATTTATCCGCCAATTGAATGTGGAATATCTATGTCTTGATTTGTCTAAAAGAATGAGTCAGATGTGACATCATGCCAGTCGACCTCACAAGGGCATGCAAACTTCTACTTGTTCTGTTCGATCCTCACTGTGCTATGAGAACAAGACTTTCTGGAGTTGACGATGAGAGACTTTTATCAGAGTCCAGTTTTCCCAGTCAAGGCTTTGAATAAGTGAGGACACTCAGCCAGCACCAAAACAAAACAAAACAAAACAGTATGAGCTGATCCGCAGGTGACAACTGATATGTCGGGAGCATTGAGCTCCACAGATAATAATGTATACCAGCTCAGGCCAAAATAACTGCCCAGTTGACCTGCAGACTGTGAGCTAAGAAACAGTTACAGTATTAAACCAGTAAGTAGTTTGTTGGTTTGCCATAAGAATTACTAATTAGACATCTAACATGACAAATTAGAAAGTACGGCCCAAAATTGTAACAGAGGGAAAAAACATTTCAATTCTAATGAAAACAATTTACCATCAGACTCTAGAAAATTTGTGATATTATATGTGGAATAAGGCAAGATGATGAAAAATACCTCGATTTTGGTTAAGATCACAATGGCCACAGATATTCTTATCCCATGCCCTACTCATCTATATTGTAGGAAACTCTATCCTCACAATCTGTTATACCCTAGGACAGTGTCTGTATTAATCAGGGTTCTCTAAAGGGACAGAAATAATAGGATATATGTACACATGAAGGGGAGTCTATTAGGATAATTGACTCACATAATTAGAAGGTGAAGTCCCACAATAGGCCATCCGCAAGTTGAGAAGCAAGAAAGCCAGTCCGAGTCCCAAAACTTCAAAAGTAGGGAAGCTGACAGTGTAGACTGCAGTCTGTGGCAGAAGGCCCAAGAACCCCTGGCAAATGATTGGTGTAAGTCCAAGAGTCCAAAAGCTGAAGAACTTGAAGTCTGATGTTTGAGGGCAGGAAGCATCCAGCACGGGAGAAAGATGGAGACCGGAAGACTCAGCAAGTCTGCCCTTTCCAACTTTTTTTGCCTGCTTTCTTCTAGCCATGCTGGTAGCTGATTACACAGTGCCCACCCACATTGAGGGTGGGTTTGCCTCTCCCAGTCCTCTGACTCAAATGTTAATCTCCTTTGGCAACACCATTGCAGACACACCCAGGAACAATACTTTGCATCCTTCAATCCAATCAAGTTGACACTCAATATTAACCATCACAGTGTCCATTAATATTTCAGGATGCTGAAGGTAACAAATGCATGAAAGTCAACTTTTTAATATAGATCTCTGCTAGACTCTACTCCTAAACCAAATTAGGATCTTGAAGTGTGAAAAAAATAGCATGATACATAGAGTTAAAATAATACAATATCAGAACTTTAGTATCATTTCAAATCTATTTGTCCATGTAGAAAAAAATGGAAATCATACTTGCCTATAAACACTAAGGCACAAATCTAAGAGTTCTATCGATGCTTCAAATCTTTCATGGTTTATTCCATGTTTAGGGAATAGAGTTCAAAATCTGTATTAGGAACTATAGGAATTGTATTACATGGTCTCTTGTCTATGACTGCAGTCTCATCTCCCATTGCTGCTACCAGGTGCTCACATGGATTTCATTTTTGCTTTTTTTTCAGGAGCATGCCACAAACCCCAGCTAATTTTTGTAATTTTAATATAGCCGAAGTTTTGTCATGTTGTCTAGGCTGGTCTCAAACTCCTGGGCTCAAGCAGTTCCATAGTCCTTAGATTACAGGCATGAGCCACTGCGCCCAGTCGCATTTTGTTTAAATTAATTTGCTAACAGTTGGCCGGGCTTCTTCTGTCATACCACAATGACTTTGATTTTGTCTTCATTTTCCTAAAATGCACGTACCTGTCTTGTCTGTCTAGAAAGCTCTTTTCATTCTTTCTGTTACAAATCACAGTGTAACCTGTGAAGACCTCCTAAATCCCCCAGAGAAGTGAAGGGTTTCTTCTGCATGCTTCCACCATACTATGCATGCACTTTAGCTGTAGCATTTTTCACACTGAATTATAATAATTGCTTCACAGATCTGATTCCTTGATTATGGCAACCATATTCCCTATCATTTTCATAACTTCACCTGATCACATAGGGCTAGAAATATATCA
This sequence comes from Homo sapiens, assembly GCF_000001405.40. Lineage (NCBI taxonomy): Eukaryota > Metazoa > Chordata > Mammalia > Primates > Hominidae > Homo > Homo sapiens. The sequence goes on along the minus strand of NC_000016.10, from coordinate 63,095,178 downwards.
TGGCACCATCTTTTTTGAATATAGGGATTCTCCAAACTATGCCTTCTGGGTTTCATGTGAACAAGCTACAAAAAATATGAAAATAAAGATGCATTAGCATTTATGATTTTTTATTTGTATGTCTAAAAGGAGCATGGGAGTAGGTGAGCATTTAATGAAAATTATTGAATAATTTAGTGGTGACTGTGAGACCAGCAGAGATGTAGAACAATATAGGATTGATTTCAGATAATACACAGGGGCAGTTAGGACTGTGGTTCTATAGCCTCTTCCTTGATAGGGATTTCAGATAGTCAGTACCATGGGTTATGTGGAATATCACCTTCATAACAAAAGATGTGAATGGAGACAAAAAAATGTGCATCTTTGAAATTGTGCTATCGACTATGTCTAGGTTGGAAATAAAGACATCCTGACAAAAGCATATGGAACTGAGAAGGTCAGCGATTGATATTTTTGCTTTGTACAGTCTCTGCCTGTTTTCTAAGTTTACCTTCCAAGTCAGTCAACAATTATGATGCACTCAAAATCCCCCGAATCACCTCTGGAAGTATAAAGACAGTGCTAGTATGTTTCCTGGCAGGGAGGTGTGTTTAACAAAACAGGACTACTAAAACAAATTAAAATATCAAATTTTCTTTAAAATATATTTAGAATGTCAAAATCCATCTATAAACGTTAAAACGTGTACTTGAGATGCAATTTATAAAAAATCTCAGAATTATTAGAGTTAAATAATTGTACCCCGAGGACCATCTTCTTTAAAGCCTTTATTTTTCAGATGAAGAAAAGGAAGACTGAGACAAGCTAGCTAGACTTAAATAAGATAAATAGGATCACTAGACCTAGACTCGTGTTGATCTTTTTCCAAGAACACTGATAAAAAAATAATGAGCTTTGAAAAAAAATTATAGAATTTGAATGCCCACCAAAAATTTAAGAAGGAAACATAAGAAAATATTAGCCAAATACTACAAAAGCTTCCTATTATACCTAAGGCATCCAGGTTGATATAAGCTGTCTCATGAGCAAAGTCAGTCTTGAGTGGAGTTTTGGTACAAGTACATAATGAAAAGAACTAAAAACTCCAGATGAGCTATAGGAAGTGTACATGTCAAGAAAGCAAACGCTTGAATTATTGACTTGGAAGACAAACATGACCTTTTCTTCTCTTTGTACACAAATCTTTAAATTTTCTCGATTCCTTGTCACGTGAATCACACCTTCAGACACATTCTAGACCTAACCTTTCACTTATAAGGAGAATGACCAGAGATGCTTTTCATAATTCTTTTGAACTTCAGTTTTTATATCCATCTGTGAGACAATAATCACACATGGCTTCTCTCCCATTGCATGGTTATGCTGAAGTTCAGTGAGAAGGATTGACAAACTGAGACAGAAAGGAGCAGTAAGATGCTGGGATTCGGTCCAAGAAGTTTCTTCTCATGTAGGCCAATAATAGAATACTGAAGACAAGAATTTCACTAAATTTAAAATCTTGTCTTAAATACAATTATAATAGCACTAAATTACTCTAACCTTTATTTCATTTGAATATACCTGGTATAATTCATTTCAATACCTGCTATAATAAAAGCAACTGCAGCAACAAAAATTCCTTGAGTCTGTTTATTGTATTCACATCTACTCTTTTATTTGCTCTTCATTGAATATAAATTTGTAATATTACTAGTGATAGAAGAGAAAAAAATAAATAAGGTAAGAACACTTCACCACAATTACAAAACTTATCTGAAACCTTACAATTAAGATTTTAATCCAGATTATAATTCAGGTTTTTCCTTTTATGTCTATATGGTTTTGACTCACATGTATTCTCCAAAATCAATGCATATCAGTCATCTTTAACTAAGCACTTGATATCTTTTATTCTGATCAATGCATTTATGCCAAAAAATTATAATTATAAAATTTGGAAGACTCAAACATCAATACTGTTTGGTTACATAAAAATATTCGACCAGAACATATTTTGAAACATCACACCTACACAAAATGACTTTTCAGTGTTTCCTTACAAGCAAAGTTATTAAATTCCCTGAAGAGGCCATAATTTTTCCATATCAATTCTCAAAATACTAACTTGAAGAATGAAAGGGTTATGCTAATAATGATTAAATATGCAGTTAAAATTGGGATAAATGTTTCAAGACAATAAAAGTTGAAAAGAATCTAAACAGCACTGAATTACACAAGTGTCTGGGGAAATCTATGAATTAAGTATAGATCATCATCTCATAGTAACCTTTGATAGTTCTCATTAAAACTGCAGCAATAGAATCTGTTAGAGGCCTCCAGAGAGATATTATGTGTAAATGCAGAAATTAAAAAATGAATATTAAATGATCCTATTGAGAAATTAAGGCCATTCAATTGTGTTAATGGCAGTAGAGTATAAGATCTATGTTTTCAATCTGTTCCTCTAAAAAGGAAATAAAAATCTGCATCTAATGTACAGATTTAATAAAACAATTCAAATAACATCTATTTTGCATAATAAGATTTGTATAAAGTATTATATAGAATGTGATATATTTATAATATATATAACATGTACATAAACGTACTTACATATATAAAATATTACCTCCTGGGCACTAAACTGGTCATCTTACAAACATAAGTTTACAATGTCAATGATATTCAACTCCGCATTCCCGTTTAGAATAATCTGGTAATGTGCAATTTACCATTTCAGGTCACAGATCTGCACAACATCACAAAATATCAGGATGAACAGGATACTCTATTTGAAAAAATGGGATTTCTAGAGTAAAGAGAATAAAATTAATCTATTTTTGTCACAAACACACATCTGCAGCTTCAGAGAAAATTAAATATAATAAGGCAGCATAGATATTATGCAATTCCATCCGATATTTTTTAAATGTGTAGTCACACCAGGTTCAGGGCTCTAAGTAAGCAAAAGACTATAGGGTTCACTGGGATCAGCAAAGACAGACCCCATTTAAGGAGAAAATATTTGAACTGTGTCATGTAAGGTCATTAGGCACTATCCATACTAAGAGAAGCAGAAAGTTCAAACAAAGGATCATGCAAGAAAATTTTTATAGCGATTGCTCCGTATTTTGAAGGTTTCATCCTAAAAATAAAGCTCTTATTGAGTTCATTTTCCTTATAATGTTTCAATTACTAGATTTAATTGATGATGCAAGTAAGTGCAGTTGAAGATTTTACTCCTGTTTCAATTATTCATGAAGACAGTGGTCATGGTGTTTTCTCCTGGTTCAAACACCTTAGGGTAAATTTTAAGCCCCAAAACACTCTGTATTAGGCTTTCTACTTCTTAGCAACGTTGTAAACATGGCCGTAAAGAAGGGGAGAAACACCTCGAAAATTGCCAGGCAATTATTACCTGAATAAAAGCAACTCACGTTTAGGGCCAAATTATTCCTATCATAGCAAAGTCTCTTTATGAATTTATTATATGAATTTCAGCTCCCAAAGCAAGTTTTATGAAAAGGTAATGTTTATTTTTCTCTTTGTGTAGAAACATTTGGCTTGCCATGAAGCATCTCTTCCTTTGTTGCATTTTTTATGACACTTAGTTTGGGAAAAGCAATTTTAGATGTGAAGTATGTGTAATCGTATTGATGGGTAATGGTAAAACATCAGTCAGGCTTTGGGCCAAAAGTAATCTGTGCGATAAAATAGAAAGCTAAGGCCTTGTATGTCAGCACAACTCTGTTGCTCTCCTCTACCTCAGCACCCAAAGCCAAAATCAACCTATCCACACACTTTCTCATAAATGCATGAGCTATTCTGCATGTGCACTGCAATAATTTATTGAGACTCCCTGCCTAAATACCAGAGGCAATAGGTAGTCAGATGTTCAGCATATAAAAATTTCCTTTGTAAAATATTAGCAGAGCTATAAATTTGTCTGTTCTTTTATATAGTTATGCAAACACAAACATTTAATGTAATGTTAGACACTGGCATAAATGCAAAGCATTTTTTGTAATATTAAGGGGCAGCAGCTATTCCTTTTTCCCACTCAAATGCTCAATCTTTCTTGGTCTTTTTATTCTCGTCTTCCATGTTTTTTGTGTGTCTAAGGACTCTCTGTGTCTCCAGAACAGGAAACCCTCATTGGATATTTGACAAGGGGTCAGGAAACTTTTTCAATGAAGGGCAAGATAACAAGTATTTTAGGCTATGTGGGCCATATGGTCTCTGTCTCAACTACTGAATTTTTCCATGCAAATTAACAAAATATAAACAATGGATGGATCTGTCTTCCAATAAAAGTTTGTTTTCAAAAACAGGCAGTAGACCAAATTTGGCTGATGGGTCAGTTTGCCAAATCTTGCCCATATGTAAGCTTTTGGGGGCTAGATGTTGGTGTCATTTCTTTTTATTCCGGCTTGTACTCAATTACTAGAACAACTTCATTTCTGTCTGATATCATCACAGACTACACTACTTATGACTTTTTCCAGAGTCTGGAATTCCCATGTATCTCCAGCTGATCTGAACCCTACACTGAAAATATTACACTTCTGTGCAAACTTATACATAAATATATAGTTATGCAAACTATATATATATATGGGGTACAAGCACAGAATTCTTACATGCATATATTGCATAGTGGTGAAGTCTGGGCTTTTAGTGAACCCATCACCTGAATAGTGAATATTGTACCCAATAGGTAACTTTTCAATCCTCACCTGCCTCTCATCCTTCCAACTTTTGTGGTCTCTAGTGTCTATTAGTTCAGTCCGTCAGTGTGCACCAATTGTTTATCTCCCACTTGTAAGTGAGGATATGCAATATTTGACTTTCTGTTTCTGCATTATTTCACTTAGGATTATGGCCTCCAGTTCCATCCATGTTGCTGCAGAAGCTATAATTTTATTCTTTTGAATGGTGAGTAGTATTCCATATATGTGTATGTATATTATATATATATGTGTGTGTGTGTGTATGTATATATATATGCCACATTTTCATCATCCATACCTCCTTTGATGGATACTTAGGTTGATTCTATATCTTTGCTATTGTGAGTAGTGTTATGATAAACATACAAATGCAGGTATCTTTTTGATATAATTATTTATTTCTTCTTAGGTACATACTCAGTGGGATTGTTTGGTTCAATGATAGTTCTGTTTTTAGTTATTTGAGACATTTCCATACTGTTTTCCATGAAAGCTGTACTAATTTACATTCCCACCAACAGTGTATAAATGTTCCCTTTCTTCCAAAACCTCATTAACATCTGTTGTTTTTTGACTTTTTAATAATAGATATTCTGACTGGTGTAAGATGATATCTCCTTGTGGTTTTAATTTACATGTATATTATGATTAATAATGTTGAACATTTTGTCATATATTTCTTGTTGGCCACTTATATGTCTTCTTTTGAAAATATCCATTCATAAACTCTGCTCAATCTTTAATGGGTTTGTTTTTTCTTTTTCTCTTCTTGAGCTCTTTTAGTTCCATAGGAACATTTAACAAGAAGGTAAAAAAAAAATCTCTATTAGGAGAATTACAAAACACTGATGAAATAAATCGTAGATGACACAGACAAACTGAAAAGCATCCTATGCTCATGAATTGGAAAAATCAATATTGTTAAAGTAGCCACACTTCTCAAAAAATTTATAGATTCAATGCAATCCCTATCAAATTATTAACATCAATTTTCACAGAAGTATAGAAAACAATCCTAAAATTCATATGAAACCCCAAAAAAAGCCCAGATAGCCAAAACAATCATATGCAAAAAGAACAAAGCTGGGGGCATCACATTGCCTGACTTCAAATTATACCACAAAGCTATGGTAACCAAAACAACATGGCACCAGTGTAAAAACAGACATATGGATCAATGGAGCAGAATAGGGAACTCAGAAATAAGCCATATACCTCCCACTAAATGACAAAAGTCAGCAAAAATATACCCTGGGGAAAGGACACCCTATTCAATACATGATGCAGAAAAAACTGGATAGCCATATGGAAAAGGATAAAACTGTACCCATACCTCTCACCATATACAAAAATTACCTCAAGATAACATGTAAGACCTGAAACTATAAAAATCCTAGAAGAAAACCTGGGAAAACCTCTTCTGTATGTTGGCCTACGTAAATAATTTATTACCAAGTCCTCAAAAGCAAACTCAACAAAAATAACAATAGATACATGAATCTTAATTAAGCTAAAAAGCTTCTGCACAGCAAAATAAACAATCAACATAGTAAAGAGGCAAGTTACATCATAGAAAAAGCATTTGCAAACTGTGAATCTGACAAATTCATTCTTAATTGTGACTCAAGGAGGTTATCAGTTCTATGCTTCATGATTTAGACTTCCCTATTTAGACTTAAATGACCATCTTTTTCACTCAAGGCTTAGTTTACCCCTGGTAACCCCCACTTTCTCTGTAAGCATGCAAGAAGCTCTACTTGGAATATGCGCTAACCTCATCCATCCACTAGTAATGCTTTAAATTGAATTTAAAGGAATATAGTGGCTTCAACTTGAAAAACTTGAAATTATGATAACTTGGCATGAACTCTGGAGGTGTTTCCAGGTTTTTTCATATTAGCTCATAAATATACCTAAGGACCTTAAGCCGTTTTTATCCCTCCACTATTTACCTTATAGATACAGATAGTTATTACAGCGCTAAAGATCCTCATGCCTCCATACAAGATAGATTTAAGGACCAGAAAAGGCTATGGTTTACTTCAGGAAAGGAATCCTCCAACTCATTTACATTTACATTTAAGTCTCGCTTGCTGAAAGCAGGTTATACGTTTACCCCTAAAGCAACCATCAACAATTAGGGACTGAAATTATAAGTAAACATTCAGATCAATTAAAATTCATTTCCCAGTTCTGGGAGGGACTTTTGCCTTTCCTGAGAATAAGTGTAGTTCCCTGACATCCTGGCCAAAATCAATGTAATTTTTACCAGATAGGAAAGGATGTAGAAATAGCTGAGTGACAAATTGGGGTTAGTCATCTTTTATAAGCACACAGGAGTGCTGAATCAAAAGGAAAGGATGAGAAACACATATTCAACCATTCACTTTTAGCATGACCTTGGATGTACTGCTCAGCCTCTCTGTCTGCTCAACCTCCCTCCTGTGGAAAATGAGCTTGATAAAGTAGCATCTTAGATCTCATGTAAGTAGGAGGCATTGGAATATATCACTCAGCCCCAAGTACTCAACTCTGCACAGACCGGGTATAGATCGTAAAAAGTTTGATTAAAGAGTGTACTCAAATGACACTTCTGTTATTGCTGAAAGCTCAACAGAGGATGCTATGTCTCGTCTGCAACCCACTGATTTTCTAAATTACCAATTTATAAAAGTTCTTTTCAGAAACACTCTGCATAATGTGCCTATTGTTCTACCTTTTCCTATTTTTGAAACAAATCAGCAGCAAAGAGACTTATTTCATTTACTTCCAAAGAAGGTTGGTTGTTTCAGAGACAAAAAACTGAATGACCTTTTAGTTATTCTTTGCCAAGATAATCTAGTCATGATCAACCTGCTTTTGTTGGTATTTTCCCATGAAAAGGACTCAGAGGACCTTGGAAAATTCATGAGGGTGGGAATGTGGAGAAAAGAAACAGGGGTCTTATATTTAACAATAAATAGTTTTACAAGTTTGGGACTCTATTCACTGTAGTCTTCTCAGGAAGAAAATCCATTGAGAGCAGCAATGTGAAAAAAGATGAATTCTGCTCACTCCCCTCATCAACTCGGTAATACTGAACTAACTGTGCCACTCCAACAACAATGCCCAGTTAACAGCACTCAAGTCCAAATGACCACTTCTATGATTGGAGTGCCTGGCTGGGAGAAAGTCCTAAATTCAAAGAATACGCTCAAGATTTCATTGACGGTGGGTTCAATGAAGTCATAACAATCATATCAGTAGTTGCAAATGATAAGGTGCTGCTGGGATCATCTTGGCAGATTTTCTGGACTAGTATGCCATCTTACGCTGCAGGATTCTGTCAGGTTGTTAAATAGGCAGGAGATTTCTCTCTAATAAAGCCATTCACGTTAGTGTCATCTCAGAGGAATGGGAGCAAATTCTCCTCATATTTGCAGTCGTCCCTGAATCATGGATTGAATGTCCACTTGACCACTCTTCCCAAACTTGTGGTAGAAAAGAGAGATGAAAACATTTATCCGTCAGTCCAGTCTTTTCCCTTAGATCACTTATTACCTGTACACTTCCCTACGTCTCCCAAACTAAAGTAATAAGGAAGACTTATTAAAGCAGGAAATTGTAGGGCTGATTCTTGGAGGATGAAGAAACATTTCTGTTTAGAGAATCAGAAAGACATTGAGAGCAAAAGAAACTTAACATGTCTTTCAATACACCTGGAGGTGTTTTGGGAATCGGGATCACGAAAAGCAGTTTGATTTGGTCTAATACACTGGGAGAGCTTATACAAATAAATGGTGGGAGATAATTATTAGATCATATTATCAAGGTCATTAGATTTTTCCTGAAGGTATAGAAAAATGAAATTACCTTTTATCACTATAAGGGTATAATTCTCATTTATCTTTTTATGCATGTTCACAGGGAGCATAGAACAAAATCAATAATTATTGAGGAAAAAAGCATTAGTTAAATGGCAGTATAACAAGTTACTGGACATTCTATCAATTCTTTTGAGAAACATAGTTCTAAATATACACAAAATTCTTACAGGTTAAGTCAAGTCACATGGCTGATTCCAGAAAAGTAGAAGACTAAAGTTTAGAGAAAAGCAAAATAAAATAACTATTTTTTAAAATTTACCCTTTTATGAAGCAAATTTTTATTTAAATGGAACATTTTCTTATTTTATTGAATATGCATTAGCTTCATAAAGTCATTTTTGGAAGAGTGATATAAATACGCTATTAATACATAAATGCATAACAACTCCTTGTATCTGAATAGCATTATACAAAGCAGTTTCATATCCATTAACTCCATAAACCTTGCAGCAACCTAATGAAGCAGATAAGACAAATATCATGTTTTCCAATGGTCAGAGCCACGTAGCTAGCTCAAAAAATAAGAACCTAAGTTATTGTAATCACATTCATTGAACCTTTTTTAATGGCATAATAGCATTAAAATCCTACACAACTTACAAGCACTTAGAGTAGTAGGAACAAAATAGAAATATATTTTATATGTCTTATGGACCAGAATAACAAGAATATTAATTTTTACCTGTGTCAGGACAGTCAGGTAGACTCAGAGAAAAGGGTAGGGACTTTGAGGTCTTAGGAAGCTTCTGTTTCTGGAATAGGTGCTACAATCCTAATTGGCTATTTCTGTTTGTTGAGGCAAAGGTTGATAGGGTGATATCAAGATCCCTTGAGGCAAAGGTTGATAGGGTGATATCAAGATCCCTTGAGGCACTTCAGATAAATCTGAGATTTAGGAGTGGTAATAATCAAACACTTTGGTTAGCATGTTGTTCCATTCACATGGATTCTGACTATCTCTTTCTTTCAGATCTGAGCAGAGGCAATTAGGTAGAGTGGATGAAATGACTATTAGGACAAGTAAAGAAAAAATACAAAATGCATGAAGAAATGGAGTAAGACAGGAAGAAATTAGAAGAAGGATGTCAGGGAGGGTGTCATAGGATCATTCAGAGAAAGAAGAAAATACAACGTATGACAATTCAGTAGCCCTCTAACCATCCAGAAGGAAAACGGAAAACAACCAGCACTTGGGCCTCTCCTCCCCTTGATTGGCTCAAGAGAGGCACTGCTGACTGATCATGTCGCTATTACCTACTAGGCCAAGAACACATCTCAATTAATATTCAATTAGTTTTCTCATGCAGATGAAATTCAGTTTGCATAGGTCATGTGGAACTACTGTCATTTTGTTCTGCTGGAGCTCACATCTCTAATATTCTAAAGACGGGTATACCATTAGGCCTTCATGGGAGGCAGAACTTTAAGGCCTGCTCAGAGTACTAACATAAGTGTTGGAGACATAGACATTGCACCAGTAGAAATTTAGAAATTGCCTTCACTAAACTCATGCATGCACCAGAAACATATGCAATGTAAAACATGAAGATACACCCCCAAGGAGGAAGACCACTTCACATAATATTTGTGAAATATCCTTTATGGTGTTTTTGGATGCAAGTCTTACATCTCAAACTGAGAGATATATAGGTGAGGCAGCATACTGAAGTCAGTCTTGAGAACATTGCCAGAATGGAGGTCACAACTTTCTTCCATTCATTTCTGATAACCTAGGCATCCTTCAAATCTAGAGGACTGGAGAACACTTTTTAAATTTTATTTCACAAATATTTTATTGGCTAATTCTATGAGTTAGTTATAAGTCTAGATATCTCACATAATGAGAGCCTAAACTTCTGAATTAATGACTAGCGTTCTCTTTCTCCTGTAGGTTCCTTAGATACCCTCTGTACAAAATATTTTCACTTATCTTTTAATACCCACCTCAGACACCATCTCTTTATAAAGGTTTCTCAGAATCTTCAAAAAGGATTTGTAGGGTCCTCCTCTGTGCACCCATACCAATACCACTTTATTCTCCCACATACAAGTCACACACTGCTCAAGTTTATTGTTTATGCACCTTTCAAAAGACAATTACTTTTTCAATACACACTCAAGAAAAGCTTGCAATGTGTCATAATCTAGCTGGACCAAATGTGAAAAACAAAAAAAAAAGAAAAAAAAGACCAGGCCGGGCACGGTGGCTCACACCTGTAATCCCAGCACTTTGGGAGGCCAAGGCAGGTGGATCACCTGAGGTCAGGAGCTCGAGACCAGCCTGGCCAACGTGGTGAAATGCCATCTCTACTAAAAATACAAAAAATTAGCCAGGTATGGTGGCAGGCGCTTGTAATCCCAGCTACTCGGGAGGCTGTGGCAGGAGAATCTCTTGAACCCAGGCGGCAGAGGTTTCAGTGAGCCGAGATCATGCCATTGCACTCTAGCCTGGGCAACAAGAGTGAAACTCCATCTCAAAAAAAAAAATTTTATTATATATATATATACACACACACACACACACACACACATACACACACACACACACACACACACATATCTATCTATCTATCTATCTATCTATCTATCTATCTATATACTGTGAAGTTCAAAGTACATGAGCAGGGTTAGATGTGGGGGTTACTTTGAGCCTCAAGACTCTCTGGTCCTTGTGTAATAGAAACTGCACTGAATAGAATCTCGCACTGTATCCTTGACCCTGGCTCTCCTATTTTAACACTGGGAAGCATAAATATGCCCTCATTTAAGGCCTCACCAGTTCCTGGTAGACAGGGTTTGGATAAAAAGGAAGGAAGTTACACGCAAGATTTTGAATTTTAGGGATTTTAGAAATCATCTTCTTTGCCTCTTACTATGCTATAAATGAGAAAGCATAAGATAATGCAGTTGAATTTCTTTTATAATAGGAGTTATGTCTGAGATATTTTATTCTAATTCATTACTACGATTGTCTTAATTTCTCATCTTGGATCACTGCCAAAGCTCCACCACTGCAACCTTCCTTTGTATTACTCAATAGCAACAGTAAATTCAATAGGGTTCTCTGGTAACCCCTGGTTCTTCTGTATTTCAATTTATTTTTGACAATGAACAAACGTGAGCTCTTTTTTCTTGTATGATGTCACACACCTTCCTACATCTGATAAAGGATTGCTACTAGTCCAAAATAAGACCAAAGGAAGGCTTAGTCTGTACTTCTTTACATATTACAATTGTTATGTGTAAGAAAAGAGAGAGAGAGGAAGGTTTTGTAAAGAAGTTGGCATAAATTACAGTGTTATTAGTGTAAACCTATCTTTTAAAAAAGTGCCTCATGAGGCTGGGACAATGACTCTGACTTCTTACTTACCTTTAAAAGGTATAATATATAATTTCTGACAGTGCTATTTTTTCTTTAGACTAATGATCCTGCTTTGTTATTTTTTACAAAGCACTTAGCTACTACCTTTTCTCTGAGAAAGATTCTTTTATCTCTATCTCAATAGAAAATGTTTCCTGGCTTTCCCCAAACCGCTATGACTTCTAATACGGCATTGTTCTTCAGTCAATCCCACAAGTACCCATTACAGAGGCAGAATAACATGTTTTGAAAGAAACCGAAGACATCTTCTTGTTTTTTAATGCAGGAAAGTGGAAAACAATCTCACAATTATTCTAACTGCATAACACCTACAATGAAACTTCTAGAAAAAAGTATTGAATACTAACCACTTGTTTATTCATTTTTAAATGTTTACTGGAAACCTGTGTAATATATGTTGTAAATGTTAACTTACTAATATGATTACAATCTAAAGTTCATTTCATCTACAAATTGCAGATGAAGAAAACTAAATGCAGATGAGTTTTAATAACAAGTCCACAGTTGCAGAGTTGCATCACTTACAGCTGCCATAGAATATTCTGTCCCGAAACATAGAGTATTAAAATAACAGCAACCCATTAAGCTTAAAATTCGGTGCATCAGCAATTTAGCATGGGTTCAGCTGTGTGGTTTCTCAGTCTTAGGTAAGCTACTTCATGCTTTGGGAGTCAGCTATGGGTTCCTAAGGCAAGATGGCTTTTGGAGGTTGACCGGCTGAGAATGAACGTCTCTCTGCTCTCCTCTATGAAGTCTCTCATCTTCCAGTAGACTGACTTGGCTTTGTTATTATTGAGGAGGCAAGAATCTAAAAGCAAATCTGCTCCACCATGAACAAGAGCAAGCAGAAGTATGCAAACCCTCCTCAGGCTTAGGTTCAAAAGCATTAACTTATATCACACATACTTTTTGCCAAAGCAAGTCACGAGGCCAGCCAAGAGTCAGAGTGAGTGAAAACCAGAAACTTGCATGGAAAAGGAGATAAAAATAGGGAGACTGCTATTTGGGTAATCAATGCAACCTATTTACTATGATCTGAATTTGGCCCAAATTTTTCATATCTCTTACCATGCAAAATACATTTACTCCTCCATAAATTTCTAAAAGTCTCATCAAATTACAACACCAGGTTGCGAGCACAAGCATTATGATATACATCAGGTCTGGATGCAGTTCACTGAATGAGACTCCTTTTGAGCCAGAGAACTATGAATTTAAAAAGCAAGTTATCTTCCTCCTGCACATCCAACATATAATAGTACAAAGAATATCCATAATGTCCAATCCCATTCTAAAAGTGGAAGGGAAGAATGGAAGGCACAAAGCATCACTAATTCATACCAATTCAGTAAACGCATTGGCCAAATACTGCCTGTCAACCCACCCACCCCTACCCACACACTCTAAAAGTGGGGAATGTTTCCTGGGCTCTTCTCTGTAGGTTTGTGTCTCCAGTATCTTACTTGGCACTCTTCTTTTGGTCGTTGGCTCTACTTTCTGAAATGTCCTTTCTTTTTTTGTATCCCCCTCAGAATCTTCTGAATAAATGATCTATGGTGACAGTGAAAACTGAACAGCTTTATTCTATCTCATAGAAATTTGGAATCTCAGAGGACTTCTAGATATTTGAATCATCTTGCCACTTTTTAATCCAAAATAGGCTCTTTTTTACCAATGCAACTCTTAAAAACGTTGTGAGCCTTCTGTTAATCTCATTCAACTCCATTTGCCAAATCCTTAATCACTAAGTGTTTTGAAACATGCCACAGAAACTTGAAACACGTAATATTGCTATGGAACAATACCCTTCAAATTCCTAGATGACTTTTTTTTTTTTTAAGCTACAAGGGTCTAGATCATGCCTGTCCACCCCCTGGCCCATGGGCCACTTGGAGTCCAGGACGGCTTTGAATGTGGCCCAACACAAAGTCTTAAACTTTCTTAAAACATTATGAGATTTTTTTTTTTTTGCAATTTTTTAAAGTTTATCAGCTATAAGTGTTAGTGTATTTTACATGTGGCCCAAGACAATTCTTCTTGCAATGTGGCCAGGGAAGCCAAAAGATTGGGTACCTGGGTCTCTAGAAGGTACCAGCTAAAGTTTTTTCTGATATCTTAACAAAGGTTATTATAGAAACATCCTATTTACACCCTAAGCCTGTATTTTTCTTTGAGAATCTTTTGCTAGCTGGAGAAACTGGAAATGAGATACTATTTTATTTCTAACCCAGCAAATCCTGGCACCTCTACATTCCTTTGGCATGCTACACACAAACTGGTCAGTTGTTTTGTTAGCACATGCCTTTCTTTCCTTATCTTATCATATACGACTGATAGCACTCAGCTGAAACTTTCAACTTTCTGCCTAAGGGACTTCTTATCTGGAACCATAATTTCATAATTATTTTTCCATGTTCTCATTAAAAGCTGCCTAAAATTTTGTGAATTATTTAACTAACACATAAAATGCATTCCAATATTGATTACCTTGGATAAAAACTTCCTCACTATTTTTCTCATAATTTTGCAATTGTTTGCTAACTTTTTTTTTTAACAGGTTCTACTTATTACTCCAACTAAAGCTAATGCCACATATTTTTGAGCTTGTATTATAGCATCATCTCACTTGGGTTGCCAGTTGCTGCATTATTTTGCTATTGAAGCATAACAAACTACGCCAAAACTCAGTAACATACAAAATAGGCATTTATTATTGCTTCCAAGTCTAAGGGTCAGTAGAGTGATTCCTCTTTTCTTAGAAGGGCACATTCATGTGTTAATACTCAACTATGGGCTGAGTAGGCAACTCTTGCCTGTGATCTGCATTCTCTTAACTATTTGATAGTAGAAGACCTGTAGATTGTTATGAGATGGACTTAAGGTCTATACTTGGGACCATCTTCATGTAATCACTTATTTCTATCAGAATAGCCCAGATTCAACAGATGGCCAAAGACTCACTCAACAGCAGGAAGAACTGCAAATCATAAGTAAACAGGGAGGCCATTAATCAGGACTATCAATATAAATAATCTCCCATAAGAACTAAAAGACATATAAAGCCAGTACTTCAAACACTATCATGTAAATTTAATACTAGTTGTCTTTTCACCACTGGGGGTTAGTATGTTCAAAGGTAGTAATATGAATGCTGATGTTGGATCTATGATAGATTCAAACCTCCAGCAAATCTACTGAGATAAATGACTTAATTTCTCTCTTCCTCAGTTTTCATATCTGTAACATGATAATGCTTATTGTGTTAACTAAAAAACCAGGTGTGTAAGAATTAAATGAATTAAGTCACAAAGTGTTTAGCACTTCAGCTAGTAGATAATAAATGTGAGCTACTATATTAGAATATTACATATATAAATTTTATAATTTATTACATAAATAAATTTTACATATATAAATGTTAAAATTATTAGTTTTATATTATGTATGCCTACATTGTCAATTCATCCAACATTAACTGACATTTACAAGTACGTAATAACTTTCAAATTCAAGGAAAATAAGTAAAATTAATTTCCTGAGTTAGATTTAAAAAGCAGAGTTGTGCATTTACATCCTTGTGAAATAGAAATGTTTCCTATATCTTTATTATAATGCAGACTCAAAATTTCAAAATGATATAAACATTTTAGAGAAGTACCTAAGAAGATACTATAATTTTAGAAAATCATTAAAATATACTTGGGTTCCATGTCAACATTTTTCCAAGAAAAATAATGCATGGACCAGATATGTATACATCATAGTCCCTGGAGTTACAGAACTTTAGTCATGATACAACAGTTTCCCCTTATCTACAGGGTATATGTTCCAAGACCCCCAGTTAATGGCTGCTACCATGGATAGTACCCAACCCTATATATACAACAGACACCATATAATGATATTTCAGTGGTTGACAAATTGCATAGACAATGGTGCTCCCACAAGATTATAATGAAACTGAAAAATTCCTATTGCTTAGTGACATTATAGCTGTTCTAGTGTTGTAGCACAAGACATTAACTTTTCTATGTTTATATATGTTTAGATACACAAATACTTATTAGTGTCTTACAACTGCCTACAGTGTGTTACTACACACTCCACAGGTTTGTAATCTAGGAATAATAGATTATACCATATAATGTAGGTGTATAATCAGTTATACCACTGGGGTTTGTGTAATTATATTCTGTGATGTTCATACAACAAGGAAAATCGTCTTAATGACACACTTCTTAGAACATGTCCCTGTCATTAGAAAATGAATGACTGTTCTATGTTTTTTTTATACATACATAGTTATGATGAAGTTTAATTTATAAATTAGGCATAGTAAAAGATTAACAACAATAATTAATAAAATAGAACAACTATAATAATATGCTATTATAAAAATTATGTGAATATAGTCTCTCTCTCTCTCAAAATATCTTAATATACTGTAGACACTTATTTTCAGACCATGGTTGACCTCTAGTCAATTGAAACTGCAAAAAGTAAAACTGTGGATAAGGGAGATGGCTGTACCATCATCATTATGTAATTTTAGTAAATGTGATTAATTAATTTATGTGAGACAGTTTCTTCATATAAACTAACAGAAATAATAGACCTTACCTCTTCACAGAATTCTGAGGATGAATTATAATTACATATACACATACATAGACACACATTTGCAGTGAACACTTTCTGAAACATCACAAATGTATTATTTTGGCTATTATCATCTGCATTTCCATCCTAATGTATTATTTTTCATCCAATGGGATGGGAAAAAATAAGCTTGGTCTTAAAACTTTACAGCTATATAAATCAGAGAGGTTGACAGCATTGGACATGTGAGAGACTTCAGTGTATCAAAATATATAAGAGATGGGTACTGGTATTTTACTGATGAGCTAATGGGATAATATGTATTAGAAAAAGCTACAAGTGTCATGAACATACGAATCATCTGGCATGAGTAGATAACCTTATCATGTGAAAACATGCATACTAATGGAGATGCATTGCAGAATAAGTTTACATTTGCTCTTGCTATGGTTCGAATGATAGTATCACTTCCAAAATTCATGTTGAAATTTAATCTCCATTGGGATGGTATTAAGATTTAATCACTTTTGGAAAAGTGATTACATCATGAGGGCTCCACCCTCATGGGAGTTCCTTTCCCTTTATAAGGCACTAATCATGGTTTGTGCCTTATAAAAAAGCTGAAAGGAATTAGTTTAGGCCTGTGTTTACACTTCTGCCTCTGCCCTGTGAGGATGCAACAAGGAGTCCCTCTCATGATGCTGAGTGCCAGTACCTTGATCTTGGACTCCCGATCCCCCAAAACTATGAGAACTAAATTTCTATTATTTCTAAATAACTCGGTCCCAGGTATTAGGTTGTTGCAAAAGTAATTGCAGTTTTTGCCATTAGTTTAACAGAAATAATAGACCTTACCTCTTGCATTACAAGTAATGGCAAAAACTGCAATTACTTTTGTACCTGCGTAACACTTTGTCACAGTAGCACCAACAAAGAAATCTCTATTACACATTTTTTTGACCGATCTCATCTCAGTCTCACAGAGAGACTCATAACAGGTTTCCATATCAGGAGATCTGGCTAAGTTCCTAAAAGTGAAAGAATTTGAGCTGCGACTTGGAAGCTGTGACTTCATGATGCAGCTTTGCTTGGTGAGTCCAGGTTTGTGAACTGAAAAACAAACAGCCAGTGTGTCAATAGTGGTTCTCCCACTAACTATATTAAATATGTCTGAGCCTTGAACACCACATCAGTGAAATAAGGCCCTGATAGGGCACTACTCTCACTGTATGTTTGCACACACACTTAACTCATTGCTTGGCATGCAATGCTCAGTAAATATCCATCATCAAATCATGATTATAGCTCCAGGTAGGTGGAGTTTCAGACCCTGGCATTCTTGAAAACTCCACTCCAAACTCCTTTAGCTCCATCACTGGCCTCTGCAGATTCAACTTAGCCCTAAACCCTTTGTGCTGATGGTTTACAGTGTCCACTTTTCTAGCTAACCCTGAAATGGAGTTCCTCACATGGGTCCTGTAAAATTTGCTTTTTCAGCCGAATACAGCACAGCTAAGTGTCTAGCTTCCATTTTTAGTAAGTGAGACTATCCAAGCCCCTTTTTTTCATTTTTATGATAGGAATAAACTACTATCTACCTGTAAGATAGGGATCAACTCTTAGTCTACTTATTTGGATAATTTTATAGACCGAATTGTTTCCCTCTCATCCAAATTCCTATGCTGAACCTCCAAACCCCAATGTGTCTGTGTTAGAAGATAGGGCTTTTAAAGAGATAATTAATGAGTTCATAATGGTGGGTACCGAACATGACTGGTTTGCTTATAAGAAGAGGAAGGAACATACATGTGAAAGACCCTGTAAAGACATGGTCTTAAAGATGGCTAAGGTCTTAAGGATGGCTAAGGAGGCCATCTATGAGAGAAGCCTTTAGGGAAACAGAATCTGCCGACACCTTGATTTTGAATAGCTAGCCTCCAGAACTGTAAGAAAATAAATTTATATTGTTTAAATCACCTAGTGTGTGATACTTTGTTTTGGCAGCCCTAGCAAACGAATACAAATGAGTATAAGAATCAAAGATGTGAACTTCCAGTTCCAAAATGGAAGCATAGAAGCAAGTTGGCTTTACTCACCCAAAAGAAAACCATAAACATGCATATAGCACTGAGATTTTCACGAGCAACTACCCTCAACTGGAATATGAGATAAGAGAGTTCCTGGGGGCTACAGAGAAGTGAAAGTACCTCCAAATAGGTGGTAAGAAAATTGGACTACCATATCTGCAAATTCCCTTCCTGACCCAGTCTGCTGGGCGTCAATTATGTGGAAAATCTCTCCTCAATTCTTGGTTTCTACACTGGAAAAAGTGATATTAAAGTGGTCAACCAGCTTCACCACCATCTGGGGTATCCTGGCAGGAAACCTATCCTTGCCTTTCCCCTGGGCAACACTGTGACTGCCTGAAGGAAGACGTTTCCCTGGGGACAGACAGAGTCAAAGTGAGGAGCAAGACTAGCATGCTGGTCTTGAAAAATTTGCTCCGTAATTTGGCCAAAGTAGATGTACATCAGAGTGGCTGTTCAGCAGCACCACAGTGTAGGAGGTTCTTTCCATAGGTCCCCTGGGCATAAAGCCCTAGACAGTCTCCCTGTACTGCTGGAATAATCCCTTTGGGACCACCCCCATTCAGGACAAGTAGCACTTTGATCACTTACTAAATCTGAGGTGAATCTGGGCTACAGGCACAATCTAGAGCCAAAAAGGCAGTGACATAGCGTCAAAGATTCGCCAAGCAAATATACCCAATAAAAGAACAAAACAAGGCAGATAAAGAAAACTGGAATACATAACTTCAATCCTTCAAAGCAAAGACATAGACACATGCCCAAAACAACCAACAGGAAACAGGAAATCATAAGTTCCTTTTTTTTTTTTTTTTTTTTTTTTGAGAAGGAGTTTCGCTCTTGTTTCCCAGGCTGGAGTGCAATAGTGGCACGATCTTGGCTCACTGCAACCTCCACCACCCGGGTTCAAGCGATTCTCCCGCCTCAGCCTCCTGAGTAGCTGGGATTATAGGCATGTGTCATCATGCCAAGCTAATTTTGTATTTTTAGTAGAGATGGGGTTTCTGCATGTTGGTCAGGCTGGTCTTGAACTCCTGACCTCAGGTGATCCGCCTGCCTTCATGAGTTTCTTAAAAGGACAAAGCAAAAATCCAGTGACCGACCCTAATGAGATGGTGATTTTTGAGCTCTCTCTGACCAAGAATTAAAAATAGTAGTGTTAGGGAAATGAAATTATCTCTTACATAACCCAGAGAAGCAATTCAGAAATCTATCATAAAAATTTAGCAAAGAGACTGAAATCAGAAAAAAAAAAGAAAATCAGACAAAAATCTTGAAACTGATAAATACTTTTGCTGAAATGAAGAACTCATTAGAGGCTCTCAACAGCAGAATGGACCAAGCAGATAAAAAAACCAATGACCTTGAAAACAGGATATTTAGGAATACACAGTCAGAGGAGGAAAAAAGAACAAGGAATGAAAGAAACAAGGAATACCTCCAAGATGTAGAAAGTTAACACAAAAGATCAAATCTAAGAATTATTGGTGTTCAAAAGACAACTGAGCAAGAGCAAGGGGTACAAATCTTATTCAAGGAAATAATAACGAATTTTCCAAAATTTTAGAAAGATATGAATATCCAGGTACAGGAAGGTCTGAGAAAAGCCAACAGATTCAACCCAAATAAGACTATCTTAAGGTCTATAATAATTAAGCTCTCAAAACTCAAGAGGATCTTAAAAGCAGAAAGAGAGAAGCAAATAACATATAAAGGAGCTCTAATTCATCTGGCAATAAACTTCTCAAAGGAAACCATATATGGCACAAGAAAGTAGAACAACATTTTCAAAGTGCTCAAAAATAAAAAAAAAACTGCCATCTAAGAATACTCTATCAAGGAAAATTATTCTTCAAATATGAAGGAGAGAGTCTTTCCCAGGCGACAAAAGCTAAGAGAATTCACCGTCACCAGAATCATCTTACAAAAAATGATAAAAGGAGTTTTTCAATCTGAAAGAAAAAAAAATAACCAACATGCAAAAACTTTTCAAAGTATAAAACCCAGTGATAAAGCTAAGTACATGAATAAATTCAGAATACCACATCATTGTAATGATGGTGTGCAATTAACTCATAACTTTAGTATGAAGCCCAAAAGAAAAATCTATGAAAAACAATAATAGCTACAGCAATCTGTTAAGAGATAGGTAATGCAAAAAAAAAATGTAAAATGAGGCAAGTAAAAGTCAAAATATGGAAAGGATAAAGTTGAAGTGTAGAAAGTTTTTGTATTTTTTGCCTTTGTTTCTATTATTGTATTTGTGACCTAAGATAAGTTAACAGACGTAAATATAGAGCTAGACAGGAATACAATAATAGTAGAGAACTTTAACACTCCACTTTCAGTAATGGACAGATCACCCAGACAGAACAAAAAAAAATCAGCATTAAACTACATGCTAAATCTAATAGGCCTAACTGACAATTACAGAATGTTTCACCCAAGTTCTGCAGACTACACATTCTTTTTATCAGCACATGATACATCCTCCAGAATAGATCATATTTTGGCCAAAAAAGAGGTCTGAACAAATTTATAAAACTAAAAATCATATCAAGTACCTTTTCAGACAGCAATAGAATAAAACTAGAAATCAATAACAAGAAAAACTGCAGAAAACACACAAACACATAGAAATTAAACAACCTGATCCTTGACCAATGGGTCAATGAAGTAATTAAGAAGGGAATTTAAAAATTTCTTTAAACAAATGAAAATGGAAATATCACATATCAAAATCTATGGGATACAGCAGAGCAGTACTAAGAGGGATGTTTATAGCAATAAGTGCCTATAGCAAAAAATAGAAAGACTTCAAATAAACAACCGAATAATGAACTTCAAGGAACAAAAAAAGCAAGAACAAGCCAAACCCCAAATTAGTAGAAGGGAAAAAATAAAAAAGATCTGAGCAGAAATAAATAAAATTAAGATTAAAAAATACAAAAGATCAATAAAATTAAAAGTAGGTTTTTCGAAAAGATAAATAAAATTTAAAAAATTTCAACTAGACTAAGAAAATAAGAGATAAGCTACCAATAAATAAAATCACAAAAAATGAACCATAAAATTAAAACCTCAGAAATACAAAAGAATCTTTAGAGACTATTGTGCACAGCAATATACTAACAAATTGGAAACCTAAAAGGAATTAAAAAAATTCCTGGTCACATAGCCTAAAGATTGAATTATAAAGGAACTGAAAACTTCAACAAGCCAATGACAAAGCCATAATAAAAAGATCAAAGCCATAATAAAAAGTCTTCCATCAAACAAAAGCCTAGGACCTGCTGCCTTTACTGCTGAATTATACCAAACATTTAAAGAATGGATACCAGTCCTACACAAACTTTTCAAAAAAATTGAGGAGGGAATACTTCCAAATTCATTTTATGAGGCCAGCACTGTCCTCATGCCAACACCAGACAAGGACGCAACAACAAAAAAACTAACAAGTTAATATTACTGATGAACATACATGCAAAAATCCTCAACAAAATACTGGCAAACAAAACTCAACAATACATTAAAGGGACCATGTACCACCAGGGTGAATGGTTCAACACTTGCAAACAATAAACATTATACCTCACATTAACAAAATGAAGAATAAAAACCATATAATTGTTAGAATAATAGATGGTGAAAAAGTATTCAATGTAATTCAACATCCTTTTTTTACAAAAATTCTCATCAAAATGGGTACAGAAGGAACATACCTCAGAATAATAAAAACTGTATATAACAAACCCATAGCTAACACTGTTGTGAATGAAGAAAAATTGAAGGCCATTTCTTTATTACTAGAACAAAGCAGGGATGCTCACTTTCACCACATTTGTTTAACATAATACTGGAATTCCTGTCTAAAGCAATCAGGCAAGAGAAAGAAATAAAGGGAATTCAAATTGGAAAGAAAGTCAAATTAGCATAGTTTGGAGTTTTCTTATACCTAAATAAACCTAAAGACTCTACCAAAAAAATGTTAGAACTAACAAACAAATGCAGGAAGTTTGCAGCATACAAAGTCAGTATACAAAAATCAGTAACATTTACAAACATCAACAACCTGAAGCAGAAATCAAAAACCAATCCTATTTATGGTAGCTACAAAATATATAAATCACCTAGGAATCAATCTAACTAAAGAAGTGAAAGATCTATACAAGGAAAACTATAAAATCCTGATGAAACAAAGTGAAAAGGACGCAAAAGAAATAAAAAAAATTCCACGCTCATGAATTGGAAGAATACCTGAATAATAAAATAATCTGCACAACAAACCCCCATGACACACGTTTATCTATATAACAAACCTGCATATGTACCCCTTAACTTAAAAGCTTTTTAAAAATTGTGAAAATGACAATACCATCTAAAGTAATTTACAAATTAATGCAATGCCTTTAAAATTCCAACTAAATTCTTCACAGAAATAGAAAAGAAATCCTAAAATGTATATGGAACCACAAAAGATCCCAAATACCCAAAGCAATCCTGAGCAAAAAGAACAAAGCTGGAGGCATCACACTACCTCACTTCAACATTTACTACAAAGCTATAGTAACTAAAACAGCATGGTACTGGCATAAAAACAGACACATAGACCAATGGAACAGAATGGAGAACCTAGATATAAATCCATACATTTACAGCCAATCCATCTTTGACAAAGTATACAAGAATATACAATGGAGGACAAAAAGTCTCTTTAATAAATGGTTGCGGGAAAACTAAATAACTATGTGAAGAATGAAAGTAGATCCCTATCTCTCATCATACACAAAAAATCAAATCAAAATGGATTAAAGACTTAAATCTGAAACCTGAAACTATGAAACTACTAGAATAAAAGTTTGGAGATAATCTCTAAGGCAGTGGTCTGGGCAAATATTTTTACGTAACAGCTCAAAAGCACAGTCAACCAAAGGAAAAATACACAAATGGCATTACATCAAGCTAAAATGCTTCTGCAAAGCAAAGAAAGCAATCAACAAAGTGAAGAGACAACACACAGAAGGGAGAAAACACATGCAATATATTCACCTGACAAAAATAGTTATCAGCATACATAAGAAGCTCAAACAACTCAATTGCAAATAGAACAAAGCTCCAACTAAAAATGGGCAAAAGATCTGAACAGACATTTCTCAAAAGAAAAAAAAAGACATACAAATGGCCAACAGGTATGTAAATAAATGTTCAACATCACTAATCATCAGGGAAATGAAAATCCAAAGCACAGTGAGATATCATCTCACCCCAGTTTAAATGGCTTGTATCAAAAAGGCAAATAATGGATGCTGGCAAAGATGTGGAGAAAAAGAACCCTCAGACACAGTGGGTGGGAATGTCAATTAGTGCAGCCATGATGGAGAACAGTATGGAGTTTTCCCAAAAAACTAAATACAGAACTACCATAAGATACAGAAATTCCATAACTGAGTATATATTCAAAAACAAATCAATGTGTTAAAGAGACATCTGCACTCCCATGTTGATTACAGCACTATTCACATTAGCCAAGATATGGAATCAACCAAAGTGCCCCTCAACAGATGAATGAATAAAGAAAATTCTATATGTATATATATACAAAATTGAATAGTATTAAGCCAGAAAAAAGGACAAAATCCTGTCATTGACATCAACATGCATGTAACTGGAGGCCATTATGTTATGAGAAGCCAACCACAGAGAGACAAATGTCGCATGTTCTCACTCATATATGGGAGCTAAAAAGTTGAATTTCACGAAGATGGAGAGTGGATCGGTGACTGGGAAATATAACAAGAGCAGGAGGGTGAAGCGGGAAAAATATATAAATGTGTTTTTTACTACTGAACTGTACACCTAAAGATTATAAAGATGGTAAATTGTATATGTATATTTTACCTCAATGAAAGAATAAAGAATCAAAGAGGAAATGCATATATAGCCACAGTTTCGGACACAGTACAACATATTAGTGTCCCACATAAGATTTTTATACTCATGATGGTAGAAAATAAACAACCCACCAAAAACCAATATTCTACACATTTTGTTGAAAAAAACAATGGACAAATTACAAGCAAAGGATATGCAGAAACCCGATAATTATATTCAAGGAGATGCTGAAGTTAGGCCAGAGATGAGAATCTAAGATGGTATCTGAGAAATTTGGTAATTTATTGTATAAAAGTAGCAAAACTTGGGAATTCAGTTTATAAAAGTAGCAAAACAAGATGAGAGGGCAGTGTGTTCCCAAGGCCTTGCAAATATATGTATAGTATAATTATTTGGGGTTTCTTTTCATCTTTTCAAAGTAAGATAAATATCCCACAAACACTGCTTCTTTCTGTTATTGTATCACTTACTGGTGATTAAAACATTCTTTACTAAGGTGTTTAGGAAGGCTATGAGTAGTTATAATCTTGGAGATATTCCCAACTCTTCACAGATGAAAGATGTGTTCTCACCATGTTACATCTATGAACCCAACCTGGTGTGAAACTCAGGACAAGATCCAGTACCAGTAGGATCCTGTTGATAGTGTTGAGATTCAGAATAGAGCAAGAACCCAGCCACAGCTGGTAAGAAGAGTCACCACAGGCAAACTCCTCATTAATGCTGCTTGTAATCACAACACATTTAGCAGGCCAGAATAGCAGACTAGAAACATAATGTAAGCGTAGAGCCAATATCATTGACCTCCCAAGGAAGGAAATGGAGTTGGCATCTCACTGTATATGGTGAAGCCAGCCTTGTACTAAGCACCCAGGGAGCAAGTAAGAAAAGCTGCAGTTAAGCTATTTCCCATGCACTATTTCAGAAGTCCCTTTACTATCCCCTCTGCCTAGCCACCTTCGCCACCTATTTCTCTCAAACCTTAAAAGCTCTAGGGAGACAATGCAATATCCTGAAAAAATACCTGTGCTTCTGAAAGTGTGTTAAACTCTTAGCTCTTTCATTTACCAAATGCAACTTAACTTGGGCAATTTAAATATCAAATATCAACTTCCTCATCTTCAATTTCCCTATAACATTACTCTGAGAATAAGTAAATAAATGTTTGGTTTTCTTTTTTTCTAAGATTTAATAATTTAAAAGTAAATTATTTTTGAATTGCTACAATATCCAAGTTGTTATAGGTTTTATTTAACAACTGCACAGGGGTTCAGATTAACAACCCAGAACCTTCATAGAATAGATCTTGGTATGTGTCTGAACTATTGTGTGGGCACTTCCCATGTCTCCTCTCTCAGATACACGTGCCTGCATTGTTCCCTCAAGCCTGCATCCTAAATCACTTTACAGCAAAGGTCTTCTATTCCACATCGTGAACCACTGCAACATGCATTTTAATGCAGCATGGTTGCACTCTCCAAGATTAATTTCTGACACTGGCAATAACCGAGGTGTCAATTCCTGTTAACAATCTACGCCTTGGCAGATTTTTGTCAATCCATTAATAATGTGTGTAATTGATAGCAACAGAGAGAGGCCACTGCTATTAATTCACTGCTGATTACTGATGCTTATTAAGGATGATAGTAGTGGGTTTTTTTCCTGTCAGTCAAATTGTGGCTTTTCAAAATTAGTTGTAGTACATAAGGAAAAGAACACAATATTAAGTTCTAAAAGTTGATTCATATTTAAATTAGCCACTCTTTAGAAAGTATTTGCTCTACACTAGGCAATAGACTATCTACTTTGCATTAATTATCTCCTTGCATTTTTACATTGACAATTTGAGACATGTTTCACTCTCCTATATTTCAGTTACTTGCTAAGGATCAAAGCATAAATAATATTTAAGATTCAAGAAGAGATCCTGGGGACCTTCGAAAAATATAGGGCTACATTTTAATTTATTGTCCAAGGTCATGTAGATTTACTAGAAACAGAGTAATCCTCATCCAGTAGTCTTTAACCAGAAACCTCCATAACTTCTTCCTTGATGGCAAATAGAACTTCACACAATAAAGGCAAATAAGGGATACTTTCTCAGCCTCCCTTGAAGTAAGGCATATTCACATTAACATGTGAAAAGGATTTTAGAAATTCTGTTGTAGAGAAAACATTCTGATGAAGTTTAACCCAAGTTTTCTCACAATTAATGGATCAAGAAACACCATTGTCATATGACACCAATAAATATCCCACAAAACTGAGATTCTGGATTTCACCCTTTGAAAAAGATTGTTGTCAATCCATGAGATGATAAGGAGCAAAATCACACTAAGGTGCAAAAACCACATACACATCTAGTTTAAAATCCAAATAAGTAAAACATCTAAAGTTGTCACTGTGACAAATTTTACAAATCATGAGGCTCAGAACATTTCTGTAAGAATAAAATTCTCTTGTTTAAAAGAAGCTTCAGAGCATAGAATTGCTTTTTAGACCAAATATGTATCTGTTGTGGGAGACAGAAAAGTCTCTATGAGAATAAATGGAGTTCTACAGTCAGAGAGGTTTGAACTCACATCCTGGCTGTTATGTGAACTGGGTGGCTTCCAAAAAGGTACAGTACTGTTCTGAGCTTCATTTTTCTTTCTCTTCTGTTTTTTTTTTTCCTCTTAAATAAAGCTTTAAGCGTTCCAAATCATTGAATTACTGAGAAGATTAAATGAGGGTAAAACAATCCTTGATACATACCAACCATCCAATAAGATTTGGCTGCAATCACTACTTGTCATCATCAGTGACTGTAACAGAAGCATGAAGACCATAGCAAAGAGTCTGGATACAGTGAAACAAGAAATCGAGAGCCTTGTTATTTCCTGCCTAAGGTAATGCCATGAGAAACAAACAAACAAGCAAAATCGTATTTTATAGAGCTGAAAAAAATCATTTATTTAAGGAAAATAAAGAAGACGAGGAGAGGAGTAAGGATTTGACGGGGGGAATGGAGACAGGCCAGGCAGAAATAAGAGCTTGGATTACATTTTTAATAGCCTAAAATATGGAAAGAAATGATTGAGGTTGATATATTGCAGACCTGTTTTCTTCTTTGACAGAAAATTCCTTAAGATTCTAGGATGCAAAGATTGGCAGTCAAATTCATTCAGATGTACAGACTTTATTCTTTTATAAAAAGCCATCCCACTGATATGCTTATAAAAGCAGATATACATTGTAGGGACTGTTGTGAAATTGCCAGGCTCTTGTGGTCTCTAGTAGCTCCATTTGCATGCTAATGAAACCAGAGGCCAGATGCCACTAATTACAACCCAGTCACTCTGTCCAACACCCCACAACCAACTGCCAGTGAATGGACCTTGTCATTCCATTATGCAAATGATACTTAGGAAGAACAGGAATAAGTTCTAAATAGTGGCAACCAGAGCCATATATTGGCAGGAGGTAAATTAATAAATATATTCAAGAAATGGAAATTAAAAATTATTATTCAACAGTAGATTAATCATGGCTGAATAAATATGGAACAGAACAACTTTTTTTTTTCTTAGTGTTCTGAGCAATCGAATGAAACTTTCAGTAACTTATTAAGGTGTAGTAAATTGTATTTCCAGAAATCATCCATCAGGTTGCTAAAGGGTTAAGCATTCTTAACACACTCAAGTGTTTTTTTTTTCTGCATGAGACAAACAAACAAAATCCTTAAGAGTGTTTTTCTTGGGTTACAAAGTTATGTTAAATAAAAATAAAAATGGAGGGAAAACCTTTGCTTCTGAGCCAATGGCCCACACCAGCTCAAGAAAACTTATAAAGACCGATTCTGGAAATGTCAGAAATGAAGCTTGAGCTTTATTTCCTTGTAAGCATGACTCAGCACATGCAGACAATCATCTATTACCTACGTAACCTGCTCTGATCATCCTAAAAGGAAAGATACTGTAAAATAACCAATGAGAATCAAGATGTATGAACTTCTTTTTTTCCGTTTTTTAAACCTTAACTATAACCTTTAGGAGATGAGCTTCTTGCCATTTTCTATTTTGGAGTCTCTGTTCTGGAATAGTGTGTTCTCAATAAAATATTCATGTCAAGTAAAACACTCTGACTTTTCTTTTGACAATTGTTATCTCTAAACTACAAGTCTACAGCAAAATACCTAGGTAATAAGGAGGAAAAAAGACATCAAAATGTTTGCTCTTAGTGGTTTTTGATATCAAACTTTTTCAAGACTGTCTTACGTATGACCTGAGATTTTTTAAAAGTAAACATCAATAGGGAGGTAATTTATAGAAATGAAACAAGATGGGTCAGGAGATCAAACATCTGTGTTTAGATTACAGGTAAATCAATTGTTACTTGGGAAAGTCACTTCAATTTTCCAAGCTTTACTTCTCCCCTCTCTTAAATAAAAATGCCAATATCTACTCATAGTCTAATTGCGTTAACTAAATGGGATAATGAATTGACCTCCTAGCCCTGTGCCTGCAACATGATAGCTGTTCATGTAACAGTAGCTACTATTTTGCATACATATTTTCAACTTTTCTAGACCTTCCTCCTGGACAAGCTGTGTGTCTCAACATACTTGAGCCTCTGTTTTCTGTGTGCCAAGTAAAAGCTTTGAACTCAATGCTGTCTAAGAGCCCCTCTTGTTCTTGGTAGTTAGAATTACATGGAGTCAATAAAGAGAAAATCAAGGAGTACTTGAAATCAAGACCATTCAAAACAGTGTTTTCTGAAAAGTGACTTGCCTGGAAGTGCGTTGAACACAGCAGTCAGTTGTTAAGTTTAGGAAATCATCTTCCCTAAAGATTGCCTTAGGAGGGTTATATGAGCAGAGATCAGTCTCCCTAAGGCAATGCTAGTATCATGGCATCATTTTGCATGAAAATCACAGTGAGAGTTTAAAATATATTTTCCACATCTCTATTAGCAGCCTGTTTCTCTGAAAGAACTTTTCACAAGCTCTCAATTGATTGTGCTCTTCATTTTGTGACCATATACTTCCTGTTTTTCTAGCAGTTTCTGATGGTTTGCATTCTAACCGATAATTAAGGCAACCTGTTACATTTTTAACCAGCTGTGATGAATATATTATGTGTTGTGACATTTAACTTTTACAATTCACAAATTAAGGTTTTATCAGACCGGGTATTGTGATCATATTCTCAGAGAACTTCCTTTTGTCCCCAACCTACCTTACTTCTAATAGGGCTAAGAATTCTTACTCAGAGAGGTTCCTTTAAAACAATTATAACTAATAATAGAAAGTTGAATGAAATTTCCCATCCCTAGGAAGATTGGCGGTTGGCAATTAAGGTTTGTGTTGGCTTAGGTGATTCATTATGCCAGCCATCCCATTCAGTCTTCACAAGAACATCAACGCATAGTAGGCACTCAGCAAGTACAGACTGAACAGACAACTCCATGAAATATGCAGATGAGGGTCAGGTGTGGTGGCTCACACCTGTAATCCCAGCACTTTTGGAGGCTGAGGTGGCCGAATCACCTGAGGTCAGGAGTTCTAGACCAGCCTGGCCAACATGGTGAAACCCTGTTTCTGCTAAAAATACAAAAGTTAGCTGGGTATGGTGGCACACACCTGTAATCTCAGCTACTCGGGAAGCTGAGGCAGGAGAATCACTTGAACCCAGGAGGCAGAGGTTGCGGTGAGCCAAGATGGCACTACTGCACTCCAGCCTGGGCAACAGAGCGAGACTCCATCTTAAAATAAATGCAGATGATGTATTTTCAGACACTAGAAATAGGACTTAGTAATGTTAAATAATTCCCCAAGACCATATGTTCCCTAAATAGGAGAATTGAGATCCAAACCCAGATCCCCTTGATTTCAATTTCTATCAAGGATGTTACACCAGCTCTGCTATTTCTGAGCTTCCTCTGTGTCTTATTTTTCTTCACTTTAGAACAATCTTTGGCTTGCCACCAGCAGGCAACTAAGTTTAAGTGTTTTTCAAAGCTTCTCTACTCTGGTGAGAATTTGCTTAAGAAATGAATCCATCACTCAACACAAGGAAACTTAAAACAACAACAAAAATATCTTGCATTATAGTAACTAGGACAGACAGCAAGTAGTGATTCACAGGAAGTATTTATTTGATGCTAAAGGAGGCATTTTAAATGTAGACTTACTTTGGAAGTTAGTATTTCCAGCACCAAAGAGAAGCTAAATAAAAAGGCTCCAGTACACCACACCTGGGCAGAGTGATGCATAGAGATAGGGAAGAAGATTAGCCAAAGATTGCAGCAGCCTAAGAATGAAGGCAGACAAAAAAAACTCAAAACCACATAGAATGAGGCATTCTCTTAGAAATAAGTGATTAGCAGTATTTTTCAGAACACATTAGAATAAGACTGAATATCCTTAACTCACAGAAAATAGACTCTCAAGGTAAATTATGAAAATGTGCTAAAATAATATAGACTTT
Organism: Homo sapiens; assembly: GCF_000001405.40. Classification (NCBI taxonomy): domain Eukaryota; kingdom Metazoa; phylum Chordata; class Mammalia; order Primates; family Hominidae; genus Homo; species Homo sapiens. Next base: position 63,064,173 of record NC_000016.10, on the reverse strand, counting down.
GAAATTAATGGATTTTGGTACGAATACTAGCTTCATTTTTAGGAGTGGTGTGGATTTGATCAAATTATTTAATGTCTCTGAGTTCATTTCTTTGCATTGAAATGGAGATGATAATATCTAATTCAGAGTTATTGTGGAGATTAAATGAGATATTGCATGTATAACTTTGTGCCACATGCCTAAAACATCAATAATGTACACTAAATATTGACTGTTATTCATATCGTAGTAAGAGACTGAGTAATAACAGAAAATTTATGCCAATAACTGTTTTGTACCAAAAATATACTATATTTGCACAAGAGACAATGAGTAGAAAGAAGGAAAAGAGGAAACCAAAGAGAATCTTGATAGAGAAATTTTATTTTTGTTGGTCATTTTTGGATGGAAGTAGAAATATACCAGCCATGAAGTAAAATCTGAATATTGTCAGGGAAGTTTTCACAGAGGAGCCCTAAAAAGGCATAAGCACAAACCTGGAAAACAAGGTACAATTACTGACAGAGGATGTTCTCTGTACTTCGGAAAACCCGGTGTGTACCTCAGTTCTACCTCTGTAGTTCAGTAGCTGTGCAATCCACCACAAAGTAGATAATCTTTGAGACTCTATGTCATGATCTATAAAATACATGTAATGTACTATCTACATTATAATTTGGCCATAAGTTTTGATTAGGGTAATGTTTATAAAGCCCTTAGCACAAACATTGGTACATAGTAAGTGTTGGACAGGTATTAACTAATTTGATTATAAATTATTAACATGAAGTTGGGTAAAATTGTAGCAATCTATGGCCTTGATTCTTTCAATTCCAGCTTACAAATGGCAAAAGGCTCTCACTGAGAATTTCCAAACACTTTTTAGGATCTGTTCATATTTCATGGGTGCTGAGAACCAATCTCCCATGATACTTTCACAGCTTAACAATTCCACTATAAATTGGAATTTAGTCCTTTGTGATCATGGAGTAACCTTGGAAGATAGCTGATTTCAGAAGCAAAAATAAACTCATGTTTAATAAATCAATCAGGGCTGTGTTTCTAAGATCATACCTGAGAGGAAAGAGGACCCTTTGGTTCCAGCAGCCTTATCAAGGGCATTGTTGTCCACTTAATGGAAATGTAATTGCTCCTCATTCCTCTTTTCTCATTAAGTCAATCTCACGGCTTGGATGCCTCATAGTAGTGATCTACAAGTTTATAAGTAAAAGTGTCTCTTGCTGAGCTGAGAGGCTGCTAAAGCCCAGATGTATTGCTCACTCCTGAGTGCTGTATGTAATCCTCACATTAAATAATGTGCAAAAACTCCCAGGAAGCTGTTGGTTTTGAAGGCACAAAAAACAAAGGAAAAATTTTTACCCCATACCTTCACCCTCTACAGATGACAGCTCATGGAGCAACTATCCAACTAGAAATGTTAATAACTACCTTCTCTCCTTTTACCAGCTGTGTTTTACATACATTAGTTAATTTAATCCTCATTACTAACAATGCACTAATGATCATCTCCATTTTATGGATGAGGGAATTAAATCTCAGAGAGGTTAATTGACTTGCTCAAGGCCACACAGGTGGTAAATGTCTATGCCTAAAAGCCTATGTTGTCAGGTTTTACATGCTTAAATAAGATTGTCAGGAGCAGAGATACCTATATTTCAGAACAGGGGTTGGCAAACATTTTCTGCAAAGGACTTCACCATAAATATTTTAGGCTTTGCATGCCATTTGATGTCTGTTTCAACTACTCAACTCTGCCTCTGTGGGGTGAAAGCAGCTGTAGACAATACAGAAATGAATGGCTTGGCTATGTTCCAACAGAACTTTATTTATAAAAACAGGCAGTGCGCTGATTTTTCCCATAGAATGTAATCTGTGAATCCCTGTTATGAAATATTAAGCTACTTTGGGGGAAACTGGTGATTCAATGATAGAGGCAGGAGGCAGAGAAACTCTAGGCAGATTGGGATGGGTCCCTGGCAAAACCCCACCTTTGAGCTAAGAAGCCTGAAATCCATGGTCCAAAGTAAGAACTTCTATCCCTGTGTGCCTGCTCTCTACCAATTGGTTCTTTCTCGATAATGTTTTTTACCAATCAAATGTTGCCTTTTCCAAAGCTACCTGCGGCTCACCCTGCCCCCAACCTGTGCCTATAGAGACCCCAGACTCAGCTGGCACAGGGGATAAGTAGCTGGATGTAGGGAAGGAGCAGCTGGATATCGGAGAGAGGCACCTTGACTTCAGAGATGGGGGCTGGATGAGGCAGAGGTAGCTTGACTTCAGGGGAGAGTGAACTACCCTTCACGTCCCCTTTCCAGCTCCCCTCTCCACTGACCACTGCTTTCATCACTCAGTAAAATTCTCCACGTTCACTATCATTCAGTTCATCTGAGTGACTTCATTCCTTTGGGGCACCAGACAAGAATTTGGGATGTGTCAACTGCAGGTACCTAAAAAGGCTGTCACACTGTCCCTTTGCCCTCACTGGCAAAGGGCAGCCACACCAGGCAACGAGGCAAAGGGTCCACTGAGTTGATAGCACACTGCTGTCTGTCTGTGGATGGTGGAGCTAAGAAAGCATTGTAACATGCCCTCTGGGGCCTTGGGGTCATAGGCGTCCCCACCTGGAGGCTGCTGTGGGACTTGCATGGAGCTCGCTTCTGACGACACTAAAGTGGCCAGTTCCTGCACTCGCTTGCACGCTCCCTTCCACGAGGGGTGGAGAGCAATGGACCTGAGTGAGCAGAGTTTGCTCCTGCCAGTACCAAAGAGGCTGGCTGATTCCCGCACTCATTCACTCACACGCTACCCCCCAGGAAGGGTCAAGCAGGGCGGGCTGAGTAAACAGTGCACCTGTTGCAAGTCCTATGAAGGCATCCAGAAAATACTGTGCATCACTAGGATTCTAATTATGATTGCCATTAACCCTTTACCTGACTTTGGGCAAGTCATTGTACTTTGGAGGACTTTAATTATCATCTATAAAATAAGTTAAATCATTTAATGTTTCTCAAAATGTGGACCATAAATCAATAACACTAATAATATGTAGGCTTCCCAACAGCAGAGATTTAGCTGTTTTGTTTAATGACAAATCTCCTGGAACCTATGAGAGTGTCTGGCACATGAAAAGTGCTCAGATATTGGTTGTATTAATAAACAAGCTAAGTGAAATAATATGTGTACTAGATTTCAGACCATAAGATCAAACACAAAGTAACTGCTCTGCCATGGACTGTAGTCACCATTAGTAGCTTCTGGCATCCTCATCTATTTAGAGTGACCATTCACTGTGTTGTCTAAACCACACCATTCTTGGAGTAAAAAGATCACTATTAATAATTACAGCAGGACAACAGGCATTACCAAGGCCTGGCCCAACTATACCGGACCACAAAGCCAGTTTGTATCTGTTTGTACTCCAGGTTAATTTCTACCATGCCCCCACACACCTTTGTAAAAACCACTGAAGCTTTCCAGCCTTTGCACACCCAGACACTACCTTCAGAAGGAGCGCTAGAAAGATGAAAACTGAACGTTTTAGCATTTACCTATAAAAAGGTGAACTACTTGAAAAGCACATTTTACAATCAAAAGTAACTACAATACTTTTAATTAAGAAGTTAAAAATCACTTCTTTTCCATACCCAATAATAAAGCAGGATGCTTGCTCAATAAAGCAAAATAGGTCAGTTATACAAAGTCAAGAAGATGCATTTACTCTTCTCTTCTGAGTACTAATATGTAAATTTCTAACCCTTTGCAGTTCTTTCTGGCTGTAAGTCTCTGATGTTGGCAAGTGACAGACCCCTATGGCCAATGAATCACAACTTAAATGAGTACCAAGTTCCCAGCTGATATGTGAAAAGGAGCTCAGTGAGAGGTACTTATGTCCTTTGTGTACTTAAAATATTGCCCTTAATGAATAAGTCCGTGTGTTCATTTTTATTACAAAAGTAGCAGACCTATCTTACTTTCAATATTACAAGGACAATGCTTGCAAAGATGAACAAAGGACGTTTAAAGATACAGGGTCTGAAAGCTTCCGAAAGCCACATAGTGAGAGATATTAAAACAAGTTGAGAGAATTTGATGTCAAAGGCAAGATCATATCTGAAGCATTTCTCAACACTGTATAAAATGCAAAAACAAAGAGAAACAAAACTCCTTGGAGAAGTTTCTGCTCAATACGCAAGCCACCGACCCTTAGCGAATGTTCCCAATAGCAATCAATGAGCCCCTAACAAGAGCTGGAAGGACTGGGGCAGTAGGAACAACACAGACCATTTGCTCTGATTCAACGATTTTTATGAGCACCATTAAGTGAAAATGGGCAAGTAACTCTGTGGCTCAGGGCAAAGCCCCCACAGCGATGTGATGAAAAATCTTGGCAAGAACCCATGAAAGAGAACCCTTCAAATCAAATCAAACAAATGCGGATCTACTAGGAGGAAGGGCCTTGTTTTTCATTTAAAATAATCTTTTAAAGAGTAGACAATAATCCAAACACCTCTGGGTTACTATATCTTCTAGGAGAATACTGATTTTGATAAAAATATTTAAATCAAAAATTTTAGGTAATTTTACCTTCAAATAGCTTAGGCACCTTAGACCAAAGTTTGCACATTCTACAAATATTGACACAATAACACCATTTTAAATCTTTACCCACCATTTGTTGGGTTATGTCAAATGTAACTCAGGATAAAAAGTTGTTCAGATAAGTGATTGGTACAATTGGAATTTATAGATTAAAAATTTGTTACAAGGAATTAAAAGTTTTTCTTACCTAACCTCTCAATAATTTTCCAAAGAAAATGTGTGATGTGTCCCTTGCTCTGCCCTTCACTCTAGTGTTTTATTTTGCATCATGGATGCATTTCTTTTAATTTTCTTCATATAACTCTTCACATGTACTCTTGAGATTGCATATTGCTTCAACAATCCTTGCCCAGCCACTAACTTCTTTCTTAAAATAATTTTCCTGCCCCCCTTCCTTCAACAGTAATCAATGTCTACCACCGCCTCTATTAATTCTGCCACTGATTTTGTGATAACTCTTCACAAATACTGAATGATGTAACTTGAAGGCAGTTTTTGTTGTCTGAATCTGCTTGATGCCAGCTTATGGTTGGCTATAATGCTCAGAAATAGAAGCAATGATTAGACAATACAAAGAGATACTAGTTTAATGTAAGGAAGAATATTTTCATCCTTATCACTTACTGTATTTACTTTATATTCCACATTACAAGGAGCCACTTCAACATGAACACCAAGCCATCTTAAGTTTATTAAGATCCTAATAATGTTTAAGCATTGGTTATGTGAATATAGAATGATGATCCCACTTTGGATTTTACATTCAAGTATAAGAAATATCTATTAATCAACTTCTTTCAGGAGTGTTACAGATGGTAGAGTCTGTTTCAACTTTGGGTGCAGGGCTTAACACATTCTTTAACACAATAAATCAACATTACTGAGAAACAAAGTAATTATAAGAACTCTTCTAATTCTAGGAATCAATGATTTTATATCAATCATATGGAAAGAGGTAAAAGTGCATGCTTCATGTTATGTTACTTTCTTTTGCTTGAGAATGCTAAATTTGTAAAACTATATAATATGACATACTTGTGACTGAATTGTAAGAGATTTTATCTAATATTGCTTTAGAATACAGAAGTAATTGTTTCAAAGGATAAAGGATGGAAGATTCTGATAAAGCTTGCTTACTTTTTGGGGGAAGGCGTGGGGGGAAATGTCTCAGTGCCCAAGGTCAGTGGCCTTCCTGACTGAAGACTTTCCCAGAGTAGAGGATAAGAGTGGGAACAGGAAGAGCAGTTTAAAGTCATCTTCACAACATTCTGGTGAGTGACTGATTGCTTCAGCAGCAAACAGGCACATGGTAAAAATATTGGTAATGTGAATTTAGTGTTGTTACTGTCATTTTTTTCTTTATTAACTATGATTTTGCTTACAGATAGCAGTCAGAGTAGTAGTATATTGATAATAATGAACCTCTTAGGGTTGCTGGTTTGGTGTTTCAAAGTTTTTCAGTTATCCATATTAAACTTTTAAAGATATCTTGTGTGAAAATTCATTTCAAATTACATAGAATTAAGATACTATGTTATTTAGGATAGACAAATTAAGTGTGTTTGTCATGATTCTATAAATTGATCTTATTTGCTATCAAATATTTTAATTCATGAATGTAGTGTGATAAAATTTGTTAAAAATAATAGGCACACATATTTTCATTGTATTTAAATTGCAATCTGGCCTATTCAAAATTAACATAGATTGATTTTGACCAAAGAGGTCTAGAAAGCAAGACCTTTTGTAAGAGAAGTGGAAAACAGAGTCATTTCTTAGTTTCATTCCACTAACCAAGATGAAGCTGGGTCACAGATTGCTGTAGACATTTTTAAGTAACTCCGTGGATCCCTCTCCTTCCACCCACTTTTCTCTGCTATATTCACAGATAATTCTCTACATATTTATCGTTTGGGAGGGAAAATGACTCTCCAAGAGTTAACTTCAATTACACATTGGTGGGCAGTAACTGTGCTGAGTGCCAGTCAGAACTGTATGTCAAAAATGCCACCTTCTCTCTTATTAATGCTGACTTAGCAAAAACAGAGGGAATTTAGGGCAAGTCAGAATTCTTGTTTCATTGTCCTATTTTCAGTAAGAGAAGGAATTTAGGACAACTTAGAATTTTTTCTCCTGCCCTATTTTATTGCACGTATGTTTATTCATATTCAGCAAAAAGAATCCCAATTTTAGCCTTTGTTGTCTTCATGTCCAAAAAGTATTTTCCCAATTAATTTAATTTTTTTATTTTAAAATTAATATATCTGGCTAAAGACATTAGAAAAATTATATCAACTGAACAAAATTTTTAAATGACTCATAGTTCCACCGGCAAAGGAATAAACTCGGCTTTGAGTAAACTCTTGAAATGTTCCTTTGAAATATGCTTAACCTTTAATGTTCGTTTGATTGATTGTGATTCTAATACATATATAAGTTTGCTTCTTTATTATTCATTTTTATATCACAAACTCTTTTCATTATTATAAATTTTATGGTAATAATATGTTAGATAATTTCCAACCTATGGTAGGAATGTCCCTAGTTTATTTGACCTTTATGTGGTAAACATTCATTGTCTTTTAAAGTCTTGTGTATTACAATGATACGTTATTTCTAATTTTTATCTCCCCTCCATTTGTATTAATTTAGCAGAAAATAAACTTCCAGAAATAAAATCAATTTGTCAAATTTTAGGAATATTTATAGGCTGAAATGTAGAGCATATTGGGATGCATATATTGGTTGGAATTTAGAGAGAAGTAAAAATAAAATAAAAATGATTCTGATTCTGTACATATACGTTCTAACCCTATCACTTTAACTTATTTGACTATAATACCGTGCTCCTTCTCTAAATAGCATATCATCAAAATGTAATGCAAACACGCATTTCCAATCTTGTGACAATGTAGATTCTGCTTCATTCGGTCCGGGGTAGGGTCTGGGAATCTGCATTCCTAACAAGCTCCTGGAGTATGACTGAACTAATACACTTGCCCCAGAGTTCCTATTGGAACCATAGTGCAAAAGATCTTCCATAGCATGTGAATACAGGATGTATCAATATTTTTCTCCATGCAGTCAAGATTTTACACGCCCTTCTACCCTGTCTACATTATTAAATCTATCATTCATCATTTATACCCTCTTTTTAAAGTTATAGTCCCTGAAATTAACAGGCATTTATATAACCTCCCAATGTCCTTGACTGAATTTATTCAGTGCAGGTTTGCCTAATTTTAATAGTGTTTAAATTCAGGCAAGGTAGCAGATTTATTAAAATCTCCATGAATTCACATCTATTTAAAATTGGATATAATTTATTTTATTAATTTTTACAATAATAAAATTTTTAAGCTTAAAAATGACCCACAGTGCCTACAGAGGGAGGAGAGTGGAAGGAAGGAGAGAATCAGGAAAAGTAACAAATGAGTACTAAGTTAAATACCTGGTTGATGAAATAATCTGCACAAAAACCCCCATGACACGTTTACTTAGGTAAGAAACTTGCATATGTACCCCAGAACTCAAAATAATTTTCTAAAAAAGACCCACAGTTAATACCAACTCCTATATTGACTCAAATTATGCAAGTCATATTTTGTTGGCCAAGAATATTGGACTGAGTCCTTCTCACTCTGCCATCTCACTGTTCTCTGTCTTCTGCCTCCCTGTTCTACTTACAAGGACCATTGTGATTCTATCCAGGTAATCCAACATAACCTATTTAATATTTAAGTTTAGCTGATTAGTAACCTTAACTCTATCTGCTACCTTAATTTTCCTTTGTCACATAACCTGATTTTGAAAGTTCCAGGAATTAGCACCTGGGCAGCTTTGGGGGGCTTATTCTGCCCTTCACAGTCATAAACTAGTATCCTTTTATATGTTTCTGAAAATGAATTTCTAATACATATAATAATATGTAAGTCTAGGATTATAAGGGATCTTATTCTATAATTTTATTCTCTTATGATATCTTTGTCAAGTTTTAATTTTAGGGTTATACTAACTTCATAAAACAAATGGGGTACTGGTATACCTATTCTATTTATTTAAAATATTTTTGCAAGTGTGGCATTATTTCTTCCTGAAATGTTTGATGCGATTTACCAGTGAAACCATTCTGGCCCAGAATTTTTTCAGATGCATGTTTTTAATAACAGATTCAAAACTATAATTTTACAGAGATACATTCAAATATTCTCTTTCCTTTGGGAGTCACTTTTGGTAAGTTTTTCTTTAAGGAATTTGTTGATTTTTATCTAAGCTGTAAAATTATTATATAATTTTTTTATAATATTTTCCTGAAATGATGAGACAAAGCAGTCCCCCCATCCAACACATTTATCACTGAATCAATCTGCACACATCAAAATCTGCTCCTTTCTTTTGGAAATTCCCAAGCATTTCAGGATTAACAAAAATGACCAAGATGGGGATAAAACACCATATAACAAAAGCATATTTTAAGATGTAATGAATGATGTAAATATATATATACATATATATAAATATATGTATATATATATACATATATATAAATATATGTAAATATATATATACATATATATAAATATATGTATATATACACACAATGAATTTTTCAGGTTTTTTTCCTATAGTTTACTTTTTTTTTTACATTTTGAAAATGGTAATTATTTGCCTATTATCAATCTTGTTTTTTAGCATTTGTTATTTTAATAAAACTTTACCTTTATTAGAGACGGGTTTCACTATATTGGCCAGGCTGGTCTCAAACTCCTGACCTAAATTAGCTGGGCATGGTGGCACACACCTGTAGTCCCAGCTACTTGGGAGGCTGAGGCAGAAGAATCACTTGAACCCGGGAGGCGGAGGTTGCAGTGAGCTGAGATTGAGACACTGCACTCCAGCTGGGTGACAGAGCAAGACTCCATCTCAAAAACAAACAAACAAACAAACAAAAACTTTATTGAATTATAGCCTACATACAGAAAACCCTCTACTTCCTAAGCGAACAGACATATGAGCAGCCACGTCACAAAAAGAAGACACCTGTGAAGACAGAACCTTAATCAAGAGTCAGAACGTTCGCAGTTCTCCAAAAGCTCCATTTTGTACTCCCTCCTGTCATTGTCTCTTATGCCCAAAGGTAACCTGAATTCTAATATCTTGGATTATAATTAAACATCACATAAGTGAAAAGGAATTGTACATACTCTTGGTGTCTGCTTTCTTTTGTACAATGTTTTATTTAATAGATTAATGCACATCGTGTATAGACATAGTAGTAGTACATTTGTTCTCATTGTTGTGTAGTAATTATATATAATGTTTTATTCATATATTTGACTATTGACAGAGTTTCTCTCATCATATCAATAAATAAGCAGAATCTGTGAGATACATGAAACAACAGACACTGAAATTAGAAGACGAGGTATAAATCTAACGCCCACAATTTTCACATGACCATGGATAAATCACTAAATCTTTTCCTAGCACTTAATCAACCATATCTAGCTCAGAAATGGATAGAGAAAATTTAACAAGATAAATCACATATGGAAAACACTTCAAATTCTTACTAATATGCTTACAAATTGAGTATCCCTGATCCAAAAACCTGAAATCCAAAATGTTCCGAAATCCAAAACTTTTGAGCACCAACATGACACTCCAAAAAAAATGATCATTGGAGAATTTTAGATTTAATATTTTTGGATTAGGAATGCTGAGTAAAAAGGTTCCAAAATCTGAACCAATATGAAATTAAAATACTTCTGGTCTCAAGTATTTCAGATCAGAGCTATTCAACCTGTGCTTAGCTACTATCATCATTTTCACTTTTGATAAAATTAGTTTATGACTGGAGAGCTGAACTTTTTCTGTCTCAAATTTTGCCCTGCCTCTAAAATAAATAAGTAGGAATAAATGATTAAGTGATTTCCAAAAAGTGAAGCAATTATCTTCTGTCATTTGCTAGTACCGTAGTAATTTATCAAAATCATATGAATAAACCTTCAATGTTCTTGTTATAAATGAAATTTCTAAAATTTTTATACTAATATGAATTCTTTATTCATTTAGTAAGATTTACTGAGTTTCTACTGTATAAGCCTTCTGCCAAGCATTTATTAGGCACTCAAAATGAGTACAATTTTAACAAAAAAAAAACATGAATTCATACCTGGCTTATCAGGTTAAATACCTTAAACAAAACAGGAGAGTAGTGTTGAAGGCACAGGTTGTGTTGGTAATAATGAAATTAACTTGTTCTTCTCTCTATGTGTCTCTCTTCTTTTTATTCCATTCACTGTAAAATTTTGGGACTATTAGTTACTGCATAAAAGTTGCAGTAGGCATCCTTCTCATTTTAAGAAACAGGCCTTGATGCTTGGGATAAATTTTTTTTAAATGATTGAATCAGAAGCAAAATCTAAATCTGTTTGATTCTTTTTCATATCATTTTCCTTAAGACATACCAGTATTGAACATAAGCCTTGATAACTACTCTAGCTGTGGATTAACTCTCCCCTTTTTGTATTGGAGTAAGGTAGTAACTGGATAGAGGCAAAGCATTAGAGGTAATCAGAGGGATCAATGTGTCATTGTGCAAAGGAAAAGAGATGTAATTGATAGTGAGATTGGGTTAGGTCACTTTCCTCGTTTAAGGCACCTTGTGTTTTATGGCTGTAGATTTTCATTAGTGTTATCATCATCATGATTATCACTTTACTTCCTTTGCCTCAGTATGTGTATTAATAAAATGAAAATGACATCTTGTTTACATACTTCAGAGAGAGTGTGTGTGTGTGTGTGTGTGTGTGTGTGAACAGAACAAGGAAGATGGGTTTTATATTTAATGCATTCCATTGTGGTTTGCATAGGATCATACTCTATTTACTAATGAGAGGAAAAGTAATTTTGTCCCCATCTAGAAGTCAAAAATGAAGTGTGAATTGGGCATCCTGAGGAGACAACATCTATGTCACTGTGAAATATGTCTTCTCCCCTTGATCTAGAGAGAATAAGAAAATACTAAATTAGGAAAAATGAAAAACAAAACAAACTCACCGAAAGAATAAGGGGAAAATAATTTTGTATAGGAATATGCTCTAAGTAATCTTCTGTCATTAACTCTATGAGTTAACTTAAGCTTGTTTTATGTAATTTAAATGAGGTAATGGAAGATAAAATGTTCATTGTACTCTATATAAGAATAGCTAAGGCATGAACTCTACGATATAATTTCAGAGCTGAATTAAATTCACAACCTACTATGGATGCTCCTTGATTTAAACTGGGGTCACATTCCAATAAGCTCATCGTAAATTGAAAATATTGTAAGTCAAAAACGCGTGTAATATGCCTAACCTACTAAACATTATAGCTTAGCCTAGCCTACCTTAAACATGCTCAGAACACTTACATTAGCCTACAGTTGGGCAAAATCTTCTAACACAAACCCTATTTTATAATATAGTGTTGAATATCTAATGCAATGAAAGTGAAAAACAGAAGGGTTGTATGGGTACTCAAAGTATGGTTTCTCCTGGAAAGTGTGTTGCTTTTGCACCATCGTAAAGTTGGATCTTAAGTGGCACCATCGTAATCTTGGACTGTCAATATTCGCTAGATTTTGATTTTTGGAAAAAATGGTATCTTCTTGGGGATCTATCTTATTAATTTAAATTAGAGTACTAATTAATATGAATAGAATTTTCCACATCTGGTGATTTCGAAGATTCACTGAGAAAATACGTGAAGTACTTTTCATGGTGACTGAAATATAGCAAGTGATGAAAATATGATAACCACTACTAGTAGAAATGATGTTGTATATGGAGTTAGTGCTTTCCAAGCTCATTAAACCAGTTGTCTCTGCTTTGTTCTTCTTCTTCATTTGAAGGAATTTCAGATAGAAGGGCAAAGTAGTTGAAAAACTTCCTACTTTTTTTTTTTTGAAGTGGACATCTACCTTGGGCTAGGAAATAAGTTTTATTCTTCCACATTTTTCATTCTCAATAAAAACTCTTTAAAAATAATTTCAAAGTACTACATCAAAAATAACAGACAGCAGTTAGTTGCTATATCAAAAAGGTGGGTTAAAAATCAGTATTACTTCATTCCCAATTGTGACTTCATTCCTACAAAAGACAGTTAATGTGTAAAGTAAGACACTTCTGAGCATCTCTGAGCTGCAATTTTCTTAGATACAATATGGAAATAATGAATGTAGGGGGTAGTATCATTCTGGTTACAAGTAAGAACAAATTTCATTCAAAGTTAAAAAAGAAACAAAAGATAACCAGGCATTCTTTCCACCATTTTGGCTTTTCTCTAAGGCAAGCTCTCGAAAGGAATGGGTAAGTGGTCCCCAGCAGCTCTCCTCTCACATCATCATATTGGGTAAAAACATTTTCCTTCTCCTCAGTTTCAACAATATTTCCAGTTTATCTCATTGGCCTCTTGGAACATTTGTCTGTCCGTGAACAATGTACTTTGATTGACTGGTCTTGAATTACAGCTCGCAATCCATCCCTAAAGTGTGCAGGCAGTAAGCCTGATGCCAGTTTGATAGCGGAGACACATAAATGTATTCACCAGAATAAAGGGAATTGAATAATGAGTGCATAAAATGAAAAGAGCCGTCTGTAAGACTATTTACTGTATAGGAATTTTATCAGGGTTAAATGAGAAAATAAAAGCAAGATTACAACTAATGACTAAGATATAGAAGAAATTCAAAAAATGTATAAAAACACTTTAAGTGAATAATCTACTAATTAATTTCCATCTGCAAGTGAAATTTGGGACAGCAGACACCATTCATCTCTTGTGATTAATGAGTAGAAATGAGCTGAATTAGGCTTTTAGCTCTCTTCAGCTCACAAGGAAATCTCAGCCATGCATGGTTCATGAAGTATTTCCTGTCAGTCTCTAGTTCTGAGTCTTGGTGCTCTGTCACCTGTGATGCTTATTCTATGAGCACTTTCATTTTCTGTCCAGGTGCAAAGAGGTGGGGTGCAAGAGGAGCTGAGCCCAGCCAAATGTCATGTAGGTGACATTGCCTGCTACTAAGTGTGCGGGTAGAGAAAGTGGTTAAAAGCTGGAGTGCAGTATTCAAACAATCTGAGGTCTGATACAGCAGGACATACTGCTACCAGTGTGTTTTTCACACCTAGCACTTACAGAAGAATTATACCTGTTGAAACATCAGGTCAGCTCCAGACCTGCACCTGCCTTATCCCTGGAGTTGAATCCAGGCACATACTGATCTGTGCTGATTGTGTTTAGCTTATGAGAACTGACAAGATCACTGCTTGAGGCATGAGATGAGGGGTTTATTTGCAGGAAAATAAATCTAACACACATATACATTATTGTAAACACACACACACACACACACACACTATAGTATGTATTTATCAGTGCCCACAGGTTTTGCTATATGGAAAAATATTGCAGGTTTTTTTTTTCAGAGATAAAATATTTATCTTTCTTTTTTCTTTCTTTCGTTTCTTTCTTTTTCTTTCTTTTCTTTCCTTCCTTTCTCTCTTTCTTTTTTTTTTTTCTTTTTTTCTTTTTTGAAAAAGGAGTTTCACTCTGTTGCCCAGGCAGGAGTGCAGCGGCGTGACCTCAGCTTACTGCAACCTCCACCTCCCGGTTCAAGCGATTCAGGCGCCCACATAGTTGGGACTACAGGCATGTACCACCACAGCTGGCTAATTTTTGTATTTTTAGTAGAGATAGAGTTTCAACATGTTGGCCAGGCTGGTCTCAAACTGCTAACCTCAAGTGATCTGCCCACCTCGGCCTTCCAGAGTGCTGGGATTACAAGTGTGAGCCACCCCGCCTGGCCAATAAAATATTTCAAAGCCAGATTTCATAGACAGAATTGCCCAAGTATCACACAGAATGATTTTAGTGATCTCTTCCTTATCAGTAATTATTAAGCACCTACTTTGTGTCTAGAATCATGTTTTTTTAAAAAAATAATTATATCATTTTGTAAGAAAATAATTTAAATGTGAAAGATTTAGAAGGATCTGAGATTGAATTCTGGCCCTAACATCTACCTCTCCCAGACATATTAATATATTAAGGAAATGCTTTTAAGTTTTCTATTTTTTTTTACTAATTTGCAACGATAGATATAATAGTGCTGTCTATGGGAGTTTTATAAGACTTAAGTGAGATAATTTGTTTTGTGAAGTGCTAAGATGGATCTCCTCAGGAAACATTAGCTATATTTATAATTATGTCCCTGTCCCATCTGTCCCCTCCATTGTCATTCTCACAATCTTGCCCCTAATTCTAACGGCACATTCTTCTCATTCTCTATTGTAAGGTTATCAGACCTCATCCTGTTCTACAATCCATTTATTCTACACTATTCTCTGTCACAAACCTTTCCTCTATGTTCACACTTTCCTCTTTACATATTGTTTCTATGGTACAGTTCTCATATTACTCTTTTGTATACATCCTACATTTCCTTGTCTAAGCTCCCATCTTCGTTTGGCAAAACTTCAAGCACACTTGATGTTAACTCCATGCTTTCTTCATGTCTACATCTACACAGCAAAACTTGGACAGATAAGACACTCTTATTCTCTCTTTAATTTAATTAAAGAGAGAATTAAAGAGGTTAATTTAACCTCATGTAGAACCTTGGCAATCCTATGGTTTTCCCTTAGTCCACTTACCTCTATAAGTTTTTTAGAACTTTTTTAATCACTCAAACTTCTAAAATATTCCCCTTCTCTCCTCACTTTCAATTAATGATTTGAGAATAAAAAAGCATTTGGAAAAGAATTCTCACAGGCTCTTACCACCACATCTTACCATACTACCTCGATCTACATACATATATTCTCATCTATTGCCTTAAATGTACTGGCCATTATCTTAAATAAGGAGAAACCTTTCATTTTTGAAATAGATCCCTTAAACTCTCACATTCACAATCATTCAAAGGAGTTGAAGCAAATTCCCTTTATTTTTCCTCCTTGTCTTAATTTGGGTTTACCTAAAAGCAGATCCAAAGTCAACTATTTGGAAGCAAATATGTTGCTTTATTTATAGTATTTTATTTTATTTTATTGGGATGGTGTCTTGCTCTGTTGCCCAGGCTGGAGTGCAGTGGCTTGATCTCCGCTCACTGCAACCTCCGCCTCCTGGGTTCAAGCGATTCTAGTGCCTTAGCCTCCTGAGTAGCTGAGATAACAACGGGGGCATGCCACCATGCCTGGCTAATTATTTGTATTTTTAGTAGAGATGGGGTTTCACCATGTCGGTCAGGCTGGTCTCCAACTCCTGACCTGGTGATCTGCCCGCCTTGGCCTCCCAAAGTGCTGGGATTACAGGTGTGAGCCACCATGCCCAGCCAGCCAGTATTTTGCATTAACAGGGATTCCAGGAACCACACTGAAGAAATTAGGAAATGAGACAGGAAAGGGAGGAGACTAACAATTCAGATTCAATCTCCCTGGGTTCCAGAGAGAAGTTGCATAACATGACAAAATAGCATTCTTTGAGGGAAGAGGAAGCTGGGTGACTTGTCCACCAATTCCATCTCATACTAGTTAAGAGTTACTCCTATGAGTATTAACTTTCTGGAATTCTGGACTACCATGATCCAGAAATAGCCCTCCAGCATAGAGACAGAGGTACTGAAGGTAAGGAGACATCTGGATGAGAGAAAGTAGGGACCCGTCCACCACAGCTGAGCTGACCTCTAGGATGAGCCACAGGATTATGGTTAGGATGGCAACATTGCCTGCTATATTCCTGCAAAATTTCTTCTATTTCTTTTAGGTAATCATGTCAACAAAAACTGTACTGTTATTTCTCCCATCTTATAAAAACTTCCTCTGTGCATCACTTTCTTAGTATCACTTCATCTTCCTTCTGTCCTTTATAGCAAAACTCCTCAAAAAGTTGCATATATCCAAATGTGCCTAACTGACATTTACAGAACATTTCACTCACTGCTGCAGAATACACATCTTTTTTATCAGCACATGGGACATTCCTCAGACTAGATCATATGTTAGGCCATTTAACAAGTCTCAATAAGTTCAAAAAAGTTGAAATCCTATCAAGTACCTTTTCAGACTGCAATGGAATAAAACTAGAAATCAATAACAAGAGGAACACTGACTGGAAACTTCACAGATACATGGAAATTAAACAACATACTTGTGAATGACAAACGAGCCAATAATAAATTGAC